>NC_000007.14:146428076-146579591 GCF_000001405.40 Homo sapiens | reverse complement strand
AACAGAGCACCCGTTAGACTGATGTGAAAGCTTAAGTGAAGGTTAACAGTCTGTTCAATTTACGGAGCTTTCTGGAGGGTTGCAAACACTATTGACCATAACGTTAACTTCTCAGTGGGCTGGCATTTTGGCACACAAAGAGGTCTGAGGCACTTCCTATTATAACATTCTCATTAGTCAATGGAGCGTGGTGTATAGGTGTCTATATTATCATCAATACAATCCATCTTTAAGATTTCTAATGGCTGTTTGCTTATTTAGGTTTATAGATCCTATCATATCTTTCCTCTATAGAGCTCAGAAAGGAATGGAATTTTGAGAAGTAGCTGTTTGAGACTTAATTAAAAAAATACTTGTTTAGAAAATATTTAACAACAACAAAAAAAATTGAGAGGGAATCAGATATTGGCTATGTACCTTCCCAAGTGAAATGTATCAAGACCCGAAATTTCTCTGTTGGATCAAATATGTAATGAAATCATCTAGGGAGAGTGATTTTATATCACTATGGACAGACCTTTTTTCCCAGCAAAAACATATTTAGTAGACAAATAAATAAACACAAAGTAAAATACGTCAGCTACAATTTTGGAGACCCAAGTCTCAAGGAATTGCCCATCTGTTTTACATTGTTAAAAAATATTTAAAGGACTTTTTCATCTGGAAAATAATAGGAAGCATACTATTGAAAATAGAAATAATTGAAAGGGGAGTTAATGGAGCAGGGATTTAAAAAAAATCTGACTTAATTCACATTTACTAACTGTCTACAGCGAGTAACAAACCCACAGTTATAAGTGCATAACATGTGGTAAGGAGTATAAGTTTTGAAGTTCATATCCTGGAGCTTAGAACTTACAGGTTAGATGATGTTGAACAGATTCACTTCTTTGAATCTTTAATTTTCTCATTTATAAAGCAGAGATAAAATGAAGTTTGGGAGATATTTATAAAAGACAGCACATAGAAAATGCCAACTTATAGTAATTATTCAAGAAAATATAGTAGAAATAAATTTTAAGTACTCTGAATGTACTGTAACCTCTTACGGAATCCCTTCTTTTCAAAATAGCACAATCTAACTTAAAACAATTAACTACCTCATTTGAAAAATAAACAGCATATAATATTCTTATGTATGTTAGTTAAGGTTGTGTTTTTCTGGAGCTGAGGATGAACAACATGCATGTGTCTAAGACGCAGGTACAAGATTCTAGCAACAGACATTGTATAATAAGAAATTAAATATTGAGTGCTTCAAATGTTCTCTGAGCAAAATTGAATACAGACTCACTAATTAACACTTGGAGAAGTACAGATTTACTAGTGGCTCCAGGCAAAACTACCATCTCACTCAATTAAGATTACACAGTTTAATTTCACGTTGTTGGGTTTACTTTCTGGTACTTGGAAAATATATTATAACTTAGAAATATTATTTAATGGGCAAAAATAACTTAGCGATACTTTAAAACTGTGAAAAGTAGTCAGTATTAAAGAAATTAGGAACAAATAACTAATTTTATTAGAATAATTAATAACCAGGCATAGAAAATTAAAATGATTGTCTATGGAGACTAGTTGGATGATGACTTCTATGCTGCAACAACTTTGACCTGGGTTTCTACTCCCACTACTTACCATACCCAGGTCTCTGTATCTATACACATGTCCTTATCTCTCCCAAGCAATCCTGAGTCAAAAAATGAAAACAAAATGACTGACTTTTCAAACTCTTCACTTTTTTTCACTTTCTTTTTTTCAAACTCTTCACTTTTCAAAAGCCATCAAAAATGAACATGCTTGATTTTTACTTGTATTCTTTATAATTAAAAATGAAATTAAATATTAATGTGTTTAAATTTGTGCATTTTTAATGAGCAAAGGAAATTGCTTTACAAATATTGATCTTGTTTATGGCCTTTATGTAGATATTCAAGAGTTTTATTTTTATACTAAGCTTTTTTTGTATGTTATTCACAGAGAAATCCACTTTTTTTAAGTTGAAAATTTTCTTGATTCCCTGAATACGTATTTTAAAATTAATCACGAAACAAAAAAAATTTAAAAGTCTAATTAGATGAAAACTGTGATAGCTTGTTTAAATCTACATGTTGGATTCTTGATAATTATTACCACTATTTTGTTCTACAGTCACAGTAGAAGTGCTTTAAATTTTGAACTTCTTAAAAAATAAAAATTAGATTTTTGAGGAAATGCAGCACATATTTTTAAAGGAATGTGTATGTTTGTAAACGTAGGCAAATCTCTGTAGAAGGAAGCTCTAAATCTAGTCTCAGCACTTAGGCAAAAACTTAACTGCCAATAAAAGAGAAGTCACAGATACCTACCTCTTTACCCCTGTGCAGAACAATATTTTTGTTTTTATCTTTATTAACTAAATACTGTTTTTAACTAGCAAAAGCATTACTAAATTCCTTCCATAGTCTTCACTTTAAATATTAAATAAAAATAATGTAATAAGAATTTATTATATTAGGCTAATCTAATTCAGCAATCTAAGTTAGATACAAAATTTCAAATTTGCAAAAATGAATGATGGCAGGTGATAAGATTATCAAATAATAGGTAATATTTCTTAAATTTAGAAATTCTGAATGAAAGCCTGATTGTAATGATGTATCATGTGTAGTTATTATGGTGGAGCCCTCACCACTCTTAGGAGTTAGGCATTTTATCAATCATCTACATATAGTGTTACACCTAAAAATAATTACAACAGAGAATTCATTCACTGAATCCGTGAAACTAGAAAAATGGTCATGATCCATCGAGATAGATATGAATGTACTATTTTACAAAATCATCTCTAGAACTTTCCTGATTATGAGGAAATGGTAAAGAGAAATTCTAAGGCCTCAGTTCCTCATTTCCCTCAACAGAAATGTAGGAAAGTCTTCCCCAATTTTCTGACCTGGGAGTTTACCAACTTGATCAGCACTTGTATCAGAGGAAAGGTGACAAAACGGTGAGTTACTGCCTAAAATATCACAATTGGAGCCATAATCAAGAAGCACAAGAACTCCAGCGTTTTTAGAGACAGGGGAGGAGGACTCCTGAAGTACCCCTCTGACCTGCCTTGAGGCTCAAAGCCAACCCCACTGTGACTCCTGCTCACACTCTGGGTTCTTCTCCATGGGCTCTCCCAAGGGCACTGGGGGTTACATAAATTTGAGCTGTTGTACAATGTCCATATCTACCCCAATAAAACACATATCCCCTAAAAGTGTGGAAGATGTAAGCTGGTTGGGAAAATTCTCTTTTAAAATAAGCTTTCCTCTAGAAAGCACTTTCCAACGTTTAAAGTCTATTAAATAATGGTTCAGGATAAAACTCTAATGGCAACCTTTAAAGAAAACCCAACAAATCTTATCACCGTATCACATGGGAGTCACATGTCCCAAATTATCCATTCATGATCTCACTTCTGGATCCTTTTAGTATGTTAACAAGGCCATATATTCAGTGACAGTATACAGTTCTTCACTGTCATGGGCTCCCACTGAAAATTACAAACAGATGTTGGTTGCTTTCAGGCCAGATGCCAGCACATCAGCAGGTGTTGAAGCCTATTTATTTGTACACAGAATATGCTGCAGCCTTGAATCACCATTAAGGTGTATCTTCACCTCCTCCCATATTCACTCCCTCTCTCCTTTCTTTTCCTTTTTCGTAAGCCTTTCGGTAGACAAGATTTAAGCCATTTCAGTTATTATTGATATTTGTGGGTTACAATGGCCCAAAACAGATTGCCAAAATTAACTGCCATGTGGCTGCTAGGAAGTTGCATTCTTATATTTTTCTACCAAGTTTAGAAAGATTTTATCGCCTTAGAGACATTGGTAATAAAATTGTGTTACATTTCTTTCAAACTTTGTTCCCACTGACAACATATTTCAGTTTTAAAAGTTGGCAATCTGGCCTTTTCCACCAGTATTAAAATTCCCTCAAAGAAAAGTCACCACTCCTGTTTCACTTGCTTTAATAACTTTAATATAGTAATAGACAAGTTTAAATGGGATGTACTTAAATATACAAATGTAATGATTGGATCAGCCCTAAGTATTTAATTTTTAAAAATCTATTCCCCAATAATTACAATTAATTACAAGTAAATATTTACTAAAAAGTGTTAGCTTTTTAAAAAATTCCTCTAGGCTGGGCATGGTGGCTCAAGCCTGTAATCCCAGCACTTTGGGAGGCTGAGGCGGGTGGATCACAAGGTCAAGAGTTTGAGACCAGCCTGGCCAATATGATGAAACCCTGTCTCTACTAAGAATACAAAAATTAGCCGGGCGTGGTGGTGCACGCCTGTAATCTCAGCTACTCAGGAGGCTGAGGCAGGAGAATTGCTTGAACCCAGGAGGCAGAGGTTGCAGTGAGCTGAGATCACACCACTGCACTCCACCCTGGGCGACAGAAAAAAAAGTTCTTCTGACATACCAGGGTGTAAATGTATCACTAGAGCTTAAATGAACAGTTATTGTATAGGCTAAGGCTTTTGGGGTTCTAACTTTTTAATGTAAGCCACTAGCCTTTTGTCAAAACTTATCAATCTCTGACACAAAAATGTATGAGGGGAAACAAGAGGGGGAAAAAGGAAGAAAGAAAGGCAGTGTGCAAACTTGCTTGGCAACCTGATGCTTCAGAATAGGATTTGGAGCCCACGGGTAGCCACCTCTGGTAGTGGGGATAAAAGTCTAGCAATTGTGTCAATCAGTAGGTCATTATCTACTGTTCCCACTCCTTTCAAAAAATGAAGAAGAAAGTAAGAAAGAAAAAGAGAGACAAAATTAGATTCTGTTTTCACATACATTTTATAAGAAACTGTGTTGTATTTTTGGGTTTGCTTGTTTGTTTGTTTGTTTTTTGAGATGGAGTCTCGCTCTGTCACCAGGCTGGAGTGCAGTGGTGCGATCTTGGCTCACAGCAACCTCCGCCTCCCAGGTTCAAGCAATTCTCCTGCCTCAGCCTCCCGAGTAGCTAGGACTACAGGCACGCACGAGAACTCCCAGCTAATTGTTGCATTTTTAGTAGAGACGGAGTCTCACCATGTTGGCCAGAATGGTCTTGATCTCTTGACCTCATTATTCACCCACCTCAGCCTCCCAAAGTGCTGGGATTATAGGCTTGAGCCACCACACCTGGCCTAATTGTTTTGTATGTATGAACCAGTTGGTATTAATTAATATTGCATGCCTGACTTAAAACAATTTAACTTTATGTCAAAAATGGAATTGTTAGATAATTTTGCTCTATGTGTGCGTGAACGTGTGTGTATGGTAATAAAACAAAACAAAAACCAATACAACTCATCACAGAATTCTATGAAGAAAAATGCGTGTTATTTTTGTTTTGTTTTGTTTTGTTTTAAAGAACAGAGAAGTGAAGGGATTAAGGAGAAATACTCTAAAATCATGGAATCCCAGGATTGGAATGACATTTAGACATGGTCTTTATCTCCAGACTCGAATCCTGTCAAGCACGCCTCATAGGACAGGTATCTCTTCCTTCCTCTTAGCATGTTCCAGTGAGCCTCTATTTCTTGTTAAATGGCGTATCCAGAAACAAAGTTTCCAGATACAAACAATTAAGACAACATAATAACATCTAATGTTATTGAAATAAACCACATTTTTTATGTGCCAGATAATATAACATGCATTTTTTTACACCTATCTCATTTAATCCACTTAACAATCCTATTTAACAAAATAAGAAAAACCCTATGAAGAAAAGATTTAATTGACAAACACTTACTTAGGAAACTGACCAAGAACACATAGCTAATGTCAGAGCCTGGATTTACACACAAAAAATTTGACACTAAAGGCTCAGGAACGCAAAATCCTCACACTGTGCTGTTGCAAGCTTGATAAGTAAAAATAACTGACTCCTCTTTGTGTGCACTGCCGCTAAATCATTCTTAGGTCTTTATGCAGGTGTCCTTTTCCAATCAAATGTAGGACAGCACATTTAAACACTATTCAATATGATATTTTAAAATTTCTCAGAGCGCTTGATATGCTTGAGTTGTGCTTTGGGTCATAATTCTGTCAGGCAATGTTTCTGTCATCCCTCCAGCTCTCCAGAGTTCTTTGTCCAATCACCAAAACCAAAAACAACAAAAGGCCAGGCGCAGTGGCTCCCACCTGTAATGCTAGCACTTTGGAAGGTCGAGGCAGGCAGATCACGAGGTCAGGAGATCAAGACCATCCTGGCCAACGTGGTGAAACCCTGTCTCTACTAAAAATACAAAACTTAGCTAGGCATGGTGGCGTGCACTGGTAGTCCCAGCTACTTGGGAGGCTGAGGCAGGAGAATCACTTGAACCTGGGAGGCAGAGGCTGCAGTGAGCCGAGATTGTGCCACTGCACTCCAGCCTGGAGACAGAGCGAGACTCTGTCTCAAAAAATAAAAAGGACCAACCAAACAAAAAACTTAGGAGAGCACATCTGTGTGTCTTTTTCTAAAGCACTGTACGAAATGGAGAAATCGAAGGACCCAAAGAGACGCATAACACTTGATATTTACCCCTAAGTTGACATTATATATTAATATTTGTTGGGTGCTCCTCCATCATTCATCTTTTTCCAGCTTATCTACACAAGTTTCACAGAAACCCATATCACCAGTTTGTTAAACAATCCTTTCTTTCTTTTCCATACATAGTTCTTTTTCTGCTTGTTCCAACTTTCATTTTACCCCTGACACTAACTCCAGTTATACAAACCACATTTTTATAGAATATCGTTACTTTTGTCCAAGGTCACAAGGAAAAAAACAAATGTACTATATCTTGGGGAATTCAACACATAAAATCATGCCATCCTTTATCTACTTTTTTATGATATTGCTTTTCATACTGTTTTATCTAACATAGTGCCATTATAGTTTTGACAACCATAATGGCAACATATTACTTTAAAAATGTTATTGAAACTCCCCTGGCTTTGGAGAATATGTTCATGTCCTCCTTGTCCCCTGCCCGCTGGGAACATTGGGATGTCCATAGTATGGGCAAATATGCGCACTTTCCTGTTACTTGACTGATGGTTTTCTCAGCTTTATTCATGTTTCATAGTTTTGGTTAATAGCAATGTAACCCATTATGAAAGATCAAGTAAAGAAAATGAAGGAAGTAAATAGTTTATCCAAAGAAAGACATCCCTAAGTCTGAGACTGTAAAGAAAAAAGATAGGAGACCCAGTCTTCAAACTCAGGAGGCATTGCTTTCTTTCCCAGGGATTTTCAATGTCCTTTCCTTGGATGTTTTTAGGGATTACAAAAAAAAAAAAAAAAAAAAGACAACAGAAATATAGAGAAAACAGATTTTCTGCTCAAATACGTTTTGGCAGCTCTAGGTTAAGAGGTCTAGACTAAATAATCCTCTGGACTTTTTGACTTTTCATAAACCTTAAAATGTGAATGTGAATTTGAGTTTTAATATTCAAGACTGCAATAGAGTACTTAGTGTCTTTAAATTCAAAGAACCCTAGAATATATTTTTCCAAGCAACCCACAGAACTCACGTTTTATTGAAAAGATTTTTGGCCAGGTGCGGTGGCTCACACCTGTAATCCCGGCACTTCGGGAGGCCGAGGTGGGGGGATCATCTGAGGTCGGGATGGCCAAAACGGTGAAACCCTGTCTCTACTAAAAATACAAAAAATTAGCTGGGTGTGGTGGCGGGCGCCTGTAATCCCAGCTACTCGGGAACCTGAGATGGGAGAATCACTTGAACCTGGGAGTCGGAGGTTGCAGTGAGCCGAGGTCATGCCACTGCATTCCAGCCTGGGCCACAGATTGAGACTGCGTCTCAAAAAAAAAAAAAAAGAAAGAAAAGAAAAGTTTTTAAATGTTTAAATGCCTATGCAACAACACTATCGCCTGCAGAACTCGATGTAGAATGGACATTTAGAAATATTTCAATGCATCTTTGTTTTGTTTCAAAATTAATAGGTTGACATATGAAAATTGCATGGGATGGAGAGGCTGGTATAGAGCTCAGAGCTAGACAAAAATCATAACTTTTTGAAAACTACCTCCCAAATAAAAGTCCTATAAACTATTAATGATATGCAAGGTAATTTTCTAGTACCTGAAATGAAAGCAAAACAAAAATGTTTATTCAATTTTTTGGTGGCGTTAAAGTTGACCTCTGATAAAAATATTTTCACATAAAATATTTTTATCTGAAAACATAGCATTATACTAGATAATAATTATGTAAAATAATCATTCATTCAAGAAATATTTTATCAAATGTTCCCTGTATCTGAGCAGAGTGGAGATCCCCTATTATAATACTTCCCATTACAGTTTGCAATCCTTTCCACAGCTCATATACAGTCTGCCAACAGTATTATTTTGAGTACACCATGAATTATATCTTCTTAAAAACAGACACTTAACTAAAAAGTCTAATAGAGCCGATGAGTCAAAACAGATTCCAGAATATTCAGAAGACATCTTTTTCAGGTTTATAAGAAAATATCTCCTTGCATTCTTTATTACAACACAGAAATGTATCTATCTCTTAATTAAAGAAAATGATTTTCTAAACATCTGGAAACATCACTAGATTTATTTTTAGGTAAGTGGAACCTAAGTATTTTCTTATTATTTGGCTAAATGCTAATAAGTTAGCTAAAATATTACTTCAGTATTTTGTGACTAAATTCTCATTTATTACCTAAGTGTTTCATTTCTTATTTCAAAGTTTTGGCTATATTCAAAATGTTTAATTATTAATATATTTTATTATTAAATACTAATCATTGCTGATAGGAAATTACATTTTGTTCTAATATCATTATTATTACTCTTCATACAACATCAGTTCTTACATGTCATGTCAACATACAGAATCTAAAATGATAATCTGGATTTATAACCTATAGCATATATAGACAATTTCATATAGGATTTCACCTTCACTTTCCAACCTTTAGAATTTGAAGAGGAAAATGTTAAATGTGCACATTTATTATGAAAATCATCAACCATTATTAGTTTACTTAGAGATATACCTGCTTCAATTTTTAGATGTCACATAAAAATGTCTAAGGCCTAATATTCATTTTGTCCTTAGTACAGGAAAAAATTCTGGATTAAAAAATGATATTTAATGAGCACAGATGCAGATAGCAATTATTTGATACCAGATTAAGCATTACCTCCGCACAAGCATCCCCAAAATTTAGAATAGTGGGACCAAAATATCAAAACAGACCGTTCAAAAATGCCTACTCACTGTATTCTGTTCTGTTAGAGAAAGTTATATATTACATTATCCAGTGTTTGCTGGTGAGCAAATTACTCCTTGATAATCAAAGGTAAAGAGAAAAAAAAAAATGGGCTGTGTCTACAGACCAGTGCATTAAAGCACTTCAGGTTTCATCATGGAATTTTTTTCTGTAGTAATAAGGTGTATTTATGTACAAACAGTGCTGAAATAGGGCAAAGAGAACTCCAATAGCTAATATCAGAATGAATTAGAGAAAAAGCACATTTCTTGTCCTTGCAAATCAGTAGAGTGACTTGCACACCTTCATCTGTCTTTGGAAGGAAAAAGATATATACACGTAGCCCCTGAAATAGGCCTTGGGAGCTCATGCATTTAACTACTGTCAGATCCATAGAAAGCTACAATGGCTTTTCATAAAATATTTAAATATACACTTGTGAGGCCATCTCATTAACAAATCTTGACACTGTCTTGTCAGGTAGGGAAGTTATAACAATGTAGATAAAATTGCACGTGACACTGTCTTGTAGGAAACTCTTTTGACCATCTACCTACCTGAATAGGAATTTTGCCTTTTTTTCCTGTAGTATTATTCACAAGGAGCAGCACACATGCTTTTTGCCCTTGTCTGTGAGCTTTGAAGTTGTCAGTCAGCTTTGGGCTACCCTACCTGGAGCAACTCAGTTTCCACTGAATTTATGAAAATGAAAATTATTGCAGTATTTTTCAAAAAGAACTATAATACCATAGAGGTGCTGAGCTAATAATCAGAGCGTTGGAAAGGATTAACTTACTTTACTGGAAAAGAAACACTCAAATTTTTATGAGAATATCCATGAGGAATATATCAGGAGCTAGTCCTTCTTTCTTTTCACTCAAGATAAAGTTTGAAATGTGAAATATATGTAATTGGGC
Organism: Homo sapiens; assembly: GCF_000001405.40. NCBI lineage: Eukaryota > Metazoa > Chordata > Mammalia > Primates > Hominidae > Homo > Homo sapiens. Next base: position 146,569,405 of record NC_000007.14, on the reverse strand, counting down.
ATGGAATAAACAGAAAGATTCCCATGGTGAAGATAGCACAAAGAATTTCACTGTGATGACTTCCAACATTAGAAGTAACCACAGAGAGGCCGGGCGCGGCGGCTCACGCCTGTAATCCCAACACTTTGGGAGGCCGAGGAGGGCGGATCACGAAGTCAGGAGGAGATCGAGACCATCCTGGCTAACGCGGTGAAACCCCGTCTGTACTAAAAATACAAAAAATTAGCCGGGCGTGGTGGTGGGCGCCTGTAGTCCCAGCTACTTGGGAGGCTGAGGCAGGAGAATGGCGTGAACCCGGGAGGCAGCCCTTGCGGTGAGCCAAGATTGCGCCACTGCACTCCAGCCTGGGCGACAGAGCGAGACTCCTTCTCAAAAAGTAAATAAATAAATAAATAATTAAAAATAAAAAAAATAAAAAGAAGTAACCACAGAGAAAAAACAAGATGGGAACTTGTGATTTGCGTGACTTTGGGACACCCATAGATAATCTCATTTAATCCAAACAGTCACACCTTGGGATAAATATTAATACGATATTACTCCATTAAGTTTAGGAAGTAAATTGCTATTGTCATACAGCTGGAAACATGGGAACCAGGTTTCAAACACAAGTCTGTTTGGCTTCAAAGCCCAACATCTTTCCTCTACAGTATTTGGAAAGAGTTTTTCCAAGTAGTACACTGGTTAAAAGTTGGTTTCTGTCTACCAAAAATCAGTAGAATCTGTAAAACCTCTCCTGAGGAAGAGGTACAGAAACCATGATTTTTTGAATCAAGAATCTGTATGCAGACTTCACAAGAATGCAGCAAAATAAGAGAAAGATTTTAAACCTGCATAATTTAGAGTAGAACATAGGAACAAATATTGTTAGAGCAATAGAAGCAAGCATAGTTTATGAAAAAGTGTTTTTAAAATTTGAACATTAAGCAATGAAAGAGGTTGATAATCCTATACGATCAGTAAATTAACGACAATATAAAGAAACTGCTCCTTTGTATTAACAAAATAGGTGGACTAAAATGTCTACCTCTCTGCAGGAAATTAAGAGAATAACAGAAAAAGGATGAGGAGAAACAGACAAGAACACAGCCAGAGATACTGCCTTATCCAGATCTGACTAAAGTTTTTGTTGCTACCCTAATTAGGAACTTTTAATAGTAGATTACGTATGCTGTTCATAGTGTGGTTTCAGCCTTTCATCAATCCTTCTGTTATCTCTACTGTATCTTTTGGAAAGCCCGAAGTCAAAAGAAAACATTTGGGTCTGCTTGACATGGGTGGATCTATCCAATCACCTCTGTAATCAAGATGCTGGTGCCCTGGCTGATCATACTATGTGCCAACATAGGTCAGAATCTAGGTGCTAATTGGATTAAGGTATACACATTTCTTGAAATAAAATATTATAGTTTTCTACATTGTCAAATTTGAAAAACACTTTAATATATAAAAAATGTTTTTCGAGACACCATCCTGGCTAACACAGTGAAACCCCGTCTCTACTAAAAATACAAAATATTAGCCAGGCGTGGTGGCGGGCGCCTGTAGTCCCAGCTACTCAGGAGGCTGAGGCAGGAGAATGGCCTGAACCCGGGAGGCGGAGCTTGCAGTGAGCCGAGATCGCGCCACTGCACTCCAGCCTGGGAGACTGAGCGAGACTCCGTCCCCCAAAAAAAGTTTTAAGTTAAAATTATATCTGTTTGAATTAAGCTAAGTTTTAAACCACATGGCACTAATAAGACTGTTTTTAAAAGTTAAAGTACCAATTTAGTGGGTTTTCTGATATGTGCTTGACACTACTTAGAATAACCAGGAAAGAAAATATAGCTTGATAATTTAGTGCAACAACAAATTTAAGTAAAACTAAATTATATCAAAGTATAATTCTACTTTAAAGTTTTTCATCAAATGCAATGAAGATAGGTAAACTATAATCTAATAATTAAGACTATATAGATTTTTACTATCATAATTTCAAATATAATTAAATTGATTGATTTTCAAATCTGACTACATTTATTGTTTTAGAAAATTGCTTTGAAGGTATTCATATAGTCTACTAATTGTTCCTTTTATTTAACATGTGATCCTTTAAGATTAAAAAAAGGGACAACATATATTATTATTATGTGACATTTTAAAAATAACTTTTGTTGATAAAGAATGCAGTATGCCAAGGCAGACAAAAAATGAATTCCTGTATTGGGCTATTCCTGACACATTCTTATCATTCTAGTGTCTAGTGTTGTTCCTATACTGTTTATTACAGAAGGGTGGCAGAAGTCTGTTCTCAATTTCATTTTTGTCATGCAATTTTATTATCTATTCACAACTATACAGTATGATTACATCCCATCACTTAAACCAGGAAATAACTAAGGTTGCTGTCTATAGTTTCCTGTGTAGTTCTAGTCAGTTGCTATGAAAGTAGAAGCCATAAGTTCATTAAAAAATAAAAAATAAATAAGTAAATAAATACAATGAGGTATGTATGTGTGTCAGAGGATGGATATTTTTCTTTTAGCTGTTATCTCCAACACAAAAGTCCAAAAGAATCCTTATACTATGAAGACCTTTCTAGGATCATAGAAAAATAAATTTGCAGGAGGAAGGGTTATAATCCAACTAGGTTACTTGTAAATCTTGTAAATAGTCTACTTTTCCTTTTTTTTAATTTTAATTTTAATTTTTATTTTTATTTTTATTTTTGAGACGGAGTCTTGCTCTGTCGCCCAGGCTGGAGTGCAGTGGTGCGATCTCGGCCCACTGCAACCTCCGCCTCCCGGGTTCAAGCAATTCTCCTGCCTCAGCCTCCCCAGTAGCTGGGACTACAGGCGCCTGCCACCACGCCCAGCTAATTTGTTTTGTAATTTTAGTAGAGACGGGGTTTCACCATGCTGGTCAGCCTGACCTCGTGATCCGCCCGCCTCAGCCTCCCAAAGTGGTAAATATTCTACTTTTTTAGTGGAATCTTCCAAGATAAAAGCGCTTCCACTAAAAGTCTAAAAATTTGAGAAATAATTTTCAAAGAAAAAATTACTATGAGATGCCTTTTATTTTCGTATGAAATAACAAAATACCTAGCCACTTGCTTCATGGAAATTGAAAGATAAATCTTCATTAAAAATATGAAAGGTCATCTCCCCTTAGGAGAATTCCAGTTGTGACTTGGATAGCATTTATTGCTATGCATTCACTCTCATTAAAACGACGATGCTATCTTAAGGAAGACTAAAGCTGCTAGTTCAAGGACTGCAGCACCCAGCTGGAATAACAAAGCTGATGTTCACCTCCCAGAGCCTACACCAGCAACAGGCAACCTGCCTGGTGGGGGTCTGGCCCACTGTGCCTCAATTGCAAAGAGGCTGCAGCCATTACAGAGTCACTGTGTGATCTGCCGGTGAATATGCATGAGAAGCTAATTTGGAGGATTCAGTGAAAAGTAAGTGTTTTGATGAGGAAGACTGAAATAACAAGAAGGGAGGAGTGAGGAAATGGGATAAATATACCATAATCCTTGATTACTCTGCAAATATAGCAGGCATGAGAGTTTATCTTTTCCTTAAAGCTTGCAGTTTTATTTCCTTTCATATTTGAAGTATGGCATGGGCCACTGGGAGAAAGGAGTCAAAACCACTCACATCGTTTATTCTAAATAGAAAATGAACAGCTCATGTGCAGACTTCTTCTAACAACTTTAAAAATCATTGTGTATGCCTACATTTCGAAGGGATGTTTTTTGTAGCAACAAACTTTCTAATTTACCTGTAGAACACAAGTGGTTTTCTGCATCTAATCAGTCTTATTCACTAGCTTTCCACTGATTTTCAATTTTTCAAAAAGCAAATCACTTCAAACAGAATAAAAAAGCGTAGCAATGTGAGTTCCTTACCCCCATATATTTATTATCTCTGAAACTGTGGTACTATTTCATTAACTCTAACATGGACTGCACTTAACGGATCCCTGGAAAGGATCCCTGGAAAGGGATCTGTTATTTAACATTAACAAAAAAAAAATGGCTATGAATATACTTTCAGGTGAACAGAATAAATGCCTAAAGAGGAGTACTTATTTTTTTCTTTTTAATTGAATTTCTCTAAATTATACCAATAGTCAAAATTGAAAATGTGTACTCAGCACATGAATAAGTAGATCTATACAATTTCTTACAAAAGATTTTCCTTGTATAAGCTGTACCTCTCAGAAACCTTGGAAGTATATATCTTGCCCTTAATGTCGTGTGTGTGTGTGTGTATGTGTGTGTGTGTTTAACTTTACAAATGTCTAACTCTAGTATTTAACAAAGCAGAAAAGGCAATTTGAATTTAGTGAAAATAATAAGCCTTAGAGTGAAAGGAAAAAGCAGACTGAAATATTATAGTAGGAGAAACACTAGATTAGAAATCAGAAGACCTAAGTTTAGGCTTTGGGTAAACTCCTAGCCACGTGATCTTGAGCAGTCACTTAACTTCTAGATGCTCAGTTTCTTATCTATAGAATATGTATAATAAGAGATCATACTTTGCTTATGGGGTTCTTAGGAGTATCAAATTCAATGATATATGTAAACATATTTTGTAAACTACTAAGTACTATAAACTGAATAAAGTTAGAAATGAGAAGGAAAGAAAGAAGATCTAAATCTAATAAAAGACAATCAGACTGTGAAAATCTACCAATAATCCATTACTCCTTATGTTGTGGACAGCCAAAAAATGAGTTCCTCAAATAAAATTGAAGTAAGCTATTCTAAATATATGTTTATACATATTTTTAATTTTTAAATAATATGCTACATTTATATATTATATATACTATATAATATTACATGTTGCATTATATAATATTTATTTGCAAACTACATTATATAATGTATATTTGTTATATAATATACAACTCTAATATATAATTATATATGATATATGAAACATATATAAAATTTGTATATTAAGTACTTACTCTGTGCCAGAAAATATCTAGTTTAATGGTCATAGCTACCCTCTCTGTAACTCAACCGACAGAGATATAGATACAGATAAGGAAATAAAGGTGTAGAGAAATTAATTATTTGCCTAAGGTAATATTGAGAGTACAGAGTTGAACAGGACTTCAACCACAGGTCTTGACTCTTATGCACTAAGCAATGTTGCCTCTCTAAAATATCAAGAGGTAACATATCATTATTAGCCCCTACTTTTGTCCATGTAGATGGTCTCTGTGTTCCCAAGATACTTTTCTTCTGGGAAATTGTACATTTACTTCTATGAAATGTTAACAGAACTTCTAAATATCAGCCAGAACTTCCTTTCTGATTAGTTGATTAAATAATAAGAACTTGGATCTCCAGCCTTGCCTACTGGTAGATGTGTAGAATTTACAGAATATGGGTATTTGACTTATACATTAATGCTGGACATGAGAGGGGAAATACAAGAATCTCAGCAATATCTCTGGGCCCAAGATGTTGTAAGGCAAGATCACCAGGTAGTATCTCCATGGGCAAACATCTCTGAATGAATTAGGGAGACAATGTTCCATTTATTGGTTGACTGTTACTATCTTTCCTGACAAGTCATCCACAGCTTATAAAGGGAATTGATAATGTGGGTTTGTGGCTGAAATGAAAGATTCTGTGAAGGGCAAAGTGGTGTAACCTCTATAAGCTTTTCTCAAAACTAATTCCTTTTAACTGGTCTTAAGATATTGCATTGCCTGTTCTCATGATGCTAGCAGACACCGTAAGATCAAGAAGTTTACTTAAATTCTGTGAACCAAACAGGTCTCTGGCTGTACTATACTATATTAGGACTCCAGGAAAACCAAGACTACTAAGAATGTTTCCAGGTACCAGCAACTGGTAGTAAATAAATATTGACTAGATCATTTCTATGTGTCAATTTCTATAACATGCTCTCTGGAGGATACTGAGAAAGTAGACAGCATGTTTTGTCTCTGGGGTCTGAGGATAGGCAGTATTAATAATACCATAAGTTGAGTCTCTAAGTTCCCAAACGAGAAAGGTAAAAGCTGGGATAGTTCAATAGTGTAATGGTTTGGAAGTCTTCTTTGAATATGTGGCTCTCAGTTAGCCTTAAAGGATGATTAATATCTAAAGGACAGAAAAAAAAATGAGACCTTCCAGCCATGAGGAAATGCAAGAATATAGTTGCAGAATTGACAGCATTGGTCATATTTAAGGAACAACAACGAAACAAAACATTTGGCTGTGACAGAGGGTCTGTGTTGCCCAGGGTATTCCTGCAAACTTAACTGCAAAGTTAATCAGTTCACTTCCGTATTTTCTTTTAGAGTCACATAAGAATGATTTAAAATTCTGTGTGTGCAACTAGCTATGTAACCTTGGACAAGTTGATTTCTCTAAACTTTAATCTGTGTCTGTAATATTAGAGCACTTTCTCACAAACTAGGGGAGTATGTGTGTGTGATTCTATATATACAAAACCTAATAGAGTGTCTGCTGTGTAGTTTAGGCGTCTGCATGTTATATTTAAATAATAATAAATACAATAGCAGGCTTGAATTAAATCCTCCCTAATTTGAAGTTTTAGTTTCAATCAATTGATTGAATTGTAAAATTCCTTTTTGATTAAATAAAAAAACCTAGAAATTTAAATTCAATTTTAGCCATAGATTTAGTGAAAAATATATTTTGGAAACTGTATTTTTTGTTTCATTATCATAAAAATGAAAGCTAATGACCATATAATTTGACTGAGGTTTCAAGGACATGCACAGTAGCGTTAAACATAATTTAATTAATTTTAAATCATAGTTGCCATTAAGTGTTGAGACAAAGCCCAGTCTTAATAAATTTAATCAATATTTCTTTAAAGCCAGAATATTGCTACAACATTTTAGCATTTATTATGTATTTGCCTTAAAATGCGTCATGTTGTTCCTTGCTCAATTTAAGTTTGGTTTATCAAGTACACATTCTGTAAATTAACATGTATGTTTTCTATATTTGGTATTTAAAATTGAAAGGCTAACCTTTTTAATTTTTTAGCACAAGTTTTAATTAATGGAAGACTAGAATCTTATTTTTAAAACATACCCTATCAATAAAATGAGAAATTTTTTTAAAAATATAAGTAAAATTTATTTTAATATCATTTTCCCAAAAAGAAAAACTCATATCTAAAACAAATCTATTATAATGTAAAAGTATTTTATATCAAATCTATTAAACAGCCAGAGCAGTTTTATAACTAATTCAAGTCATCTGTTTAAGTGGTCAGTGGAAATAAGAGTGGTGATTTAGAAACAAGTTAAGGAGATTCAAAAATGTTTTTGGGCCGGGTGCAGCGGCTCATGCTGTAATCCCAGCAGTTTGGGAGGCCAAGGCAGGAGGATTGCTTGAGCCCAGGAATTTGAGACCAGCCTGGGCAACATTGTGAAACCCCATCTCTAAAAAAATATAAAAAATAGCTGAATATGGTGGTGTGTGACTGTGGTTCCAGCTACTCAGGAGGCTGAAGTGAGAGGATCACTTGAGCCCGGGGAGGTTGATGCTGCAGTGAGCCATGATTGCATCACTGTATTATGACCTGGGCAACATAGCCAGAAACTGTCTCAAAAACAATAAACAACGACAACAAAAATTTGTAGGAATAAATTTTATTTTTAAAAGTTGCCGGAATTTCATATCATTTTCACCACTAGTATCATTGACTGTGGAGGAGGAGGTCATTGTGATTTTGTGGAGTTTCTTCATTTTTTGTTTTGAGACAAGGTTTGGCTCTGTCACCCAGTCTGAGTGCAGTGGTTCAATCACTGCTCACTTCAGCATGGAACTCCCTAGGTCAAGCGACGCTCCCGCCTCAGCCTCCCAAGTAGGTAGGACTATAGGTGTGTGCCACCACGCCCTGCTAATTTTTTTTTCTAAAAAATGGAGAGACAGGGTCTCATTATGTTGCCTAGGCTGGTCTGGAACTCCTGGGCTCAAGTGATTCACCTGCACTGGCTTTCCAAAGTGTTGGGATTACAGGTGTGAGCCACTGTACCCGACCTTATTGTAATTTGTTTCAGAAGAATATCTCTATTCTGACCTGTGTGCCATACTTTTGTAATGGCCCCTTTTATATATGCTGGCCAGTCAGGTAAATTCTGGTTGTACAATTTAGATATTACCTTTGGGGGTGGTTGAAAAGTCTTATTGACCTAGAGGGGGTAGTTCCTCTTCTATTGTCTTCTACACAATTTTCTATCATTAAAGAAAATATGGAAGGGAAATGTAGAAGGCACTCTTAAGGATGGTCAAGACAACCTGGACGATGATGGGCAATTTCTTTCTACCTTTGACATTATAATGCAGACATGTTTTTAAAAATGTTTGTGATTGTGTGTTTATAATATATAATTGACACTAGAGTTGTGAGCTTAAGGAAGGTTTCACTGAATTCCTTATGTAATGAAGGCTGGAATTGTTCCAGCATTCAGTAAATTAATTTCATCAGGAACTGTTCTGATAAGACAACCATGAGAAATAAGTCAAGGTCCCTTGAATTGAAATGAAAGAGGAAGACCAATAGATGATCAGATAATGACAGAAGAGTATGTTGAAGCTTTGGAATAGAGAGAAGTACTAGATGCGGCTGGAGATAGGCAATGGAAGTGGCTGACATTTTCTTGGTTAGAAAAAGACAAAGGGAAGGTCAGGAACTTCTCTTTAAAGATGTCAAACGTCACTCTATAAATATGAAAACTGACATATTCTCACTCTACTCACTTGACACAAAAGTATCATCTCTTTCTCCTACTCTAATATGGCAGGATTCTGAAGGGAATTTAGGGATGATCAGCTAGAGTAGGGCTTAGGTTGATAGCTGTGCATAGTAAAGCTGGAGAAATAATTAGCCATGTATGAAATGCTTATAAGAAACTCTTAGCCAAATATATATATATACACACACACATACACACATATATATACACATATAACACACATATTTATATATACACACACGTGTATACACACACATATACACATACATATATACACACATATATATGTATATAAACATATATGTATATACACCATCATAATAAATAACCTGGCTTTTTTAAACCTCTAATGATTGACAGTAATTTATATAATTTTATTTGTACTGGCACAAACTCATCGGCATTAAAAAGAACCCATCAAGCAGGACACTTATTTAACACACTTTCCACCTGCCTGCACCTTGACTTGGTGGACTCAAGATAGAATCAGATAGCAATCTAATTACCCTGCAAAGGAATTCAGTGATGGGAAGTGAGATTAATATAATAACCAAATTCTGGCTAGAATTTACTGCAGTGTCTGCTACTATTTTATTAGAAAATGATTACGTTTCTGCAAGCAAATAAAAGTGTTTTAACTGGTGAAAGATAATTATTCATTTTAAATACAGAAAAAATGGCTAAAATTATAATTTGTGGGAAGAGATGACATGACAAAGGTATAGATATGTAAATGTGTGTGGGTGTGTAGGAAGGAGACGGGCATTTAATTTCCATGTATTTAATGTAATTGTGTCATTTTTTTTGTATGTAATTTAAATGACAACAGCATTCATCAAATAAAACTTATTTATCCAAAGCAAAATGAAGTGGTCTTTGACATTGCATAAAACAAGGAGAATGGATGATTAGCAATGGGCTGAAATCTATCCAAAATATGATTGAAATAAATATCAAACTTATGATATTCAAAAAATATTCTGTTATACAGGCACTTTCCACAATAATTTATAAATGCCTTATTCATAGGAAATAAAATAATTCGATTTTTCTGTTTCTTTTTATTTTTATTTTATTTATTTATTTATTTGAGACAGAGTGTTGCTCTGTTGCCAGGCTGGAGTGCAGTGGCGTGATCTCGGCTCCCTGCATCCTCCGCACTCCCGGGTTCAAGTGATTCTCCTGCCTCAGCCTCCCGAGTAGCTGGGACTACAGCCACACGCCAACACACCCAGTTAATTTTTATATTTTTAGTACAGACGAGGTTTCACCACGTTAGCCAGGATAGTCTCTATCTCTTGAATTCGTGAGCTGCCCACCTCGGCCTCTCAAGGTGCTGGGATTACAGGCATGAGCCACCACACCTGGCCAAATTAATATTATTTTAATTGATAAATTATATACATTTATGGGGTACAATGTGATATATATGTGTGTGTGTGTGTATGTATATATACATATCACACAATGTGAAATGATGGTCAGGTATTTGAAACCTACTCTCTTAGTTATTTTGAAATACTCAATATGTTATTATTGACTATAGTCATCCTGCTGTGCAGTAGATCTCAAAATATATTCCTCCTGCCCAACTCAAACTTTGTTGTTTGTTATATTTTTAAAAACTTTATTTTAAATGCATATTAGTTTTATGGGACAGTTGGCAAATCTTTGAAAAACTCGTACAATAAACATACTGCAGAAATTGTCAGGATTTGAGATGCCAATCAAAATCCCACACTCAGGCAACAGAGATGAATCTTGTAGACATTGTGCTAAGTGAAATAAGCCAGACACGGAACAAATACTACATGGTACCACTTAGGTGATGAATCTGAAGTAGTTAATAGAAGCAGAGAGTGGAATGGTAGTTGCCAGGGGTGGGATCAGGAGAGATATGGGAGAAGATAGTGTTAGTTAAAGAATACAAAGTTTGGTTTTCCAAGATGAATAAGTCTTAGAGATACAGTATCCACCTTGAGTTAACAATACGGTGCTGTGTGCTTAAAAATTTGCTAAGAATGTACCTCTTATATTAAATGTTCTTATTTCCCCCCCAAAAAAATCATAATAATAATAAATAAATAAAAAGGAAGAAGGAAACTTTTGAAGTTGATGGATAGGGTTATGACAGATTGTGGTGATGGCTTCAAGGGTCCATACTTATCTCCAACTTTGTTGAGTTGGATACATTAAATATGTAAAGTTTTTATATGTCAATCATACCCAAATAAAGTGGTTAAAAAAAAAGTACATGCCAGATGTCGTTCTTATAATCCATCAGCTATGCTGATTCCTAATAACCTTCAAAATTTTCATTATCATCATGCAGAGGGGCAATGATTTCTCATTACTGAAATGTTTCATGAGTGACATAAAACATGTGGACTTGCTAAGATACCACGTGGGGCCTCTGTCATGTGCACAACATGTCCCAGCACCTAGAGTGTCACTTCCACTCTTCACCCCGGTGCCTCAGGCTATGAATGTCCACAAGTCCTATGAGCAACCTCTTCCAGAAGATGCTTTGGCCTGATTCCAGCTACAAGGTAACCAGGTCCTGCTAACAGAAAACTGTCATGTCTGTCTAAGTGAAACTGTCATGCCCGGAGTTTGTCACAGTACTAAAAAACACAAAGGTTGAGACTTAATTAAACTTACAGGGTAGATTGTATTACATTTTCTGTTTCATTGCTAATAAGTGTTTGAAAATGTTGTAGAATTTGATTGTTGTGTTTTTACCCTCATTTTAACATGAGATGATAGTGTGATCAGGAAATAAAACTATAACTCTCACCTCTAACAAAAGGCTACCAAAGGATATCAAAAATAAATGTATCAATTGTAAACAACAAAATTAAATTAGCTCAATTTGCAACCTAGACAATCACACACAGGGAGCATACAAATATTCTGGTTTGCCTAATTAGTGAGTTAGAAAATGGTTAATCAGTCAATAAAGAAGCACTGGGTACTGGCAAGTCTCCTAGACTGAATATTAAGACACGTAGGATCAAGTTTTATTCTCATCTGATTTGAGCCAATGGAAATTTCTCATAAGGCTTTTAACTTTCTGAGAATTCTAACCTGTATGACTTACTGGGCCTCTTATCAGCCCTGAAAGTCTTTAATTCTATACATTTTACCAAAGAAGTTTGGTATATGCACTTAACTGTATACTCTAATAGACAATAGAATTAATTATAAAGGCACAACTTTTCTGGAAAGACCTTAGAGAATACAGTGAGGTTCACCTGCTATGTTTCCTTCCATTGGTTCTAATAACGAACACCAAAAAAATGATCATTAGCGGTTTATAATAGTTTTCCACACCTCCAGCCTGGGAGGGTAACAATATAGTACATACTGCCCCTGTCTTCTTAGTCCTCTCCTTTTAAAAATTCCTGTCTTATCCTCTCCATAGTTTCTTTGCCTTCATAATCTAAATATCGGGAGTGAGTTTAGTCCACAATCCTTCCCTTACAGCTGATGGCACTGTTGGGAGAAGAGTCAGAAAGCATGTATACCAATCAAATAGATCATTTGGAAAATAATCATTATTACGTACAACTGCATTAATTTAAATTGTATGTTGCTTGGAAATCTGTTTTGTCGGTTGTAAGGTGATGCTTATATGCCTACTCCAATTCTTAATATATGTACAACTTTAAAAGGGTTATTTCTCTGTGTGTTTAATCAACCAGAATAATCTGAAAAGAACCTGGGCTTATAGAGCAATATCCCTCAGGGCTAAAGCTCCTATATTTCTCTTCCATGTGGAATTAACTGTACTGGAAGCCAATCCCTTTCACCAAGGCAAGGGAGATTTACTAAATAGTGCCAGCTCACCAAAGGTCAGATTTCACTAACTCTTTTCATTCTTATGCTGTCCTCTCTGCCCCTGTAAATATTACACTTTGTTTCCTAAATAAACCATGGCAGCCATTCTTATGGGTAATGTTTGTTTCAAGGAAACATCAGTTTCAGTGAAATGATTAGAATTTTCAATAATCTTGTCTTCTCTATATGAGTTTTTCTCACTGGATCTTCTTAACTGTCCTAGTATTTCTGTCTTTCTTCTTTTGTTCCTGGAGGTGTTATGATCAGAATATTAGGGACAGAAAAGTAGAAGAAAGTAAAACAAAGAGAAGAAGGGGAATTAACAGTTATTAGGCACCTATCATAATACGCTGTTCTGCATGATTTACATGCGTTATGTTATTACCCCTCCTATCAGAACTGTGAGGTAAATATTATTTTCCCCATTTTATCTCACTTAAAACAAGGTGAGATTAAGCAATTCATCCAAAGTCACACAGCTACCAAGAGGCAGATCCAGAAGCCAAGACCATGTCTGTCTGGGATGCAATCCCCTATACTTCCTGTGGTGTTTTGCTGCCCTCTCCTTATTCTAAGTACTTTTAAGGAATACAGTAGTTTTAGGTTACACTAGTATTTTTCAAAGCAAGTTTTAATTACTACTTGAGAAAAAAAAAGACTGACATTATACAATAGAAAAAAGTATAACCATGAAATATTCCATTTCTTTGTGTATTTGTTGAAAGAATATTTGTTGGAATCCAATAAACGTTGCTGATAAAATATTGCTATGTAACAAAATAATTAGACATTGCTATTTAATGAAGTTTATTAAGAATTACAGGTGTGGAAACCTGCTCTCTTTTTTGAGAGTGGATTGTATGCTAGGCACTGAGCTTCAGCTTTACAGACATTAATCACTTAATCTTTGTAACACTTCTGTTAGAAGAGTCTATAACCATCACTTTTACAAGAAAAAAAATGTGTATGTTGGAGAAGTTAGACATGTTCTTCCAGGTCACCCAATATTAATTGGCAGAGCCAAGGTTTGTACTCAGTCCTTCTGATGCCAAAGGCTCTGTTTTTCTACCACACAATCAACTTTCCCTCAGATGTGGTACCACTTGCTCACCCAAACACGTTTTTTGGATGGTAATTTCATTAAACATAATATTGTTTTGTAGTCTTTTATTGTTCTCTAAATGTTTACATATATAAGTGTACCTCTCCTACAGTCTACAATCTCCCTCATGGCTTCTTTTTTGTGAATTAGGTGTTGAAAAGTGATAGATATCGCATAGATAGATAGATAGATAGATAGATAGATAGATAGATAGATAGACAGACAGATGATACAGAGTAGATTACATATAGATGGATAAATCGATAAATAGATGAGATAGAAGATTAGATATATAATTCAGTAAATAGATGATACATAATAGATGGTAGATAGATGGATAGAATAAAAGATTAGATTAGATAGATAATAGATAAAGTCTTATGTTAGTCTAATGCATGACTTAATTAATGTTAATCTAAAGCAAAGGTTTCTTTTCAAGGTAGGGGTGAGATGGTGTGGGAAGGTGGGTCTGGAATTGCTGATGTAGCAGTTGTCACACTGCATCTTTAGCTTTTCAGGTGACTGTACCAGTGCTCTTTGAAGGAGAAAGAAAATGGGAAAGAGGGACTTATGAATGGAGAGGTCTGTGCCATTCACTCCACAATGCCTGCTGAGCAATAGAGGAGGCTGAGCTGCTGAGGGAAGAGTAAGAAACCTGTAGTAAGAGGATCAAGATTTCATCCACTATCTCTTATTTGGCAAATAAGTTAACCTCTCTTTACCCCATTTTCTTTATTTGGAAAATGGGACAAATAATACGTAAGTAGATCTCAGGATGATTATGAGGTTCAGTGAGAAAAAAGGAGGTGAAATGCAACTTATGGACACTCAAGTGCTATATATGTGCAATTTCCCCATTTTCACCCTGGCTAACGCCTATTTTGTTAAAAAGGTCTTGCTGGCTCTTACGCTGCCTTACCTCGGAGACTCTGTGCAGTGCACACCACCTGCCTGGGCAGCTGTCTGTGGTCGGTACCCTGCACACCGAGTTTACAGTGAATAATAGCAAGAGCTGGTAGCACGGCCAGCCTGTGAGCTGTGTCCACTGCTCTGCAGAAAAGCAAATAAGTCAAACAAACACTCCTCAGAAAGCCAAAAATCTTTTAAACATTATACCATCCTTCATCTCCATGTACAATATAACACAACAAACTAAGAGAGAATAGAGGAGATTTCAGAAAAAAATATGTGGGACTTTTGAGGAATTTGTAGAGGAAAGACATACAAATGGCTAAGCATATAATTTTTTAAAAAAAGTATTACAATTCTCTTAATATGAAGGATTGCAAAAAAATAGTTACCAAAAATGTGTTGATATGGGTTTTAATTATTATGGAGCAAAATATTTTTAAGACAACTTATTTTGAAATCCACATGAACCCAATCTAAGGGTTTGAGGCTGAAAAATGATTTCCACACAAAAGACAAATACTGTCGTTAGAAGCTATAAAAATGAGTATTTTTTTAGGGGCTTCAGATCTCACTAGTTCAAGTTAAAGCACTGGCAGAGCTATATGCCGAGACAGGAGGTCAGAAGGCGGCCTCAAATGGTTCCAGCAAGGCTCCAGTTGTTTGTAGATACTTTTTGGCCTTAGATTCAACGTTAGTTACACTGCATTCTCATCAGCTTGAGGGATATGAATCGGTGTTAATACAGATATCTGACCAACAAATGGAATGCCCAAAAGAACAACTTTTTAACTGTTTTATATGGGGCTGTGTGTGTGTTCAAACATTTCAAGTATTTATTTCAACCAAAGGCACAATAATAATGTTCATGTCAGTAAAAAAGAAAAAATCACATCATTTTATATTCACCTATTAAAGCCAGCACTTGTGGAAAACTATGCCGGTCATGAGTACGCAGACAGCATAATTCTCACTTCTATTATGGAAGTGAGAAGAGCTCACACTTACGTATGAATGTATTTTTTTTTTAAGAAACAAAACCTCAACATTTTTAGAATGTTCCATTGAAATGTTCACTATGTGATATAGCAACTTTTAAAAATATATTTGCATAGTAATCTTTGTATAATATCCTACATTGGATTAATTTTAATTTTCTTTCAAATGTAAATGAAATTGTTAGTCCAACTTTTATGAATACCAATTATTTCCTTGAAGAGAATGCAAATTGGCCTTTCCTATCTAAAAATAGATAAAAAGTGCATCTAATAAAGTCCCTTCTAAATTTTAAATGTGAATAATTAGGATGAATTATAGGAAAAACACTTATCTATTTTATTTAATTTTGTCTTGGTATATATCTAACACTAAACATCAAGTGAGAAACATTCAGAACAAATAAAGGTACCGATAGAAACTAATTAGTATTTACTTCAGTACTTTTAATTTGATATTCTCAGAGCTCAAAAGAACAATCCAATATATAGATTATATAAGAAATAAAAGAATGGAGTTTTCTATAGACTTCTTCTATGTTATGATTCAAGAATAGACATAAATATATGTTCTAGCATTTCAAATATAATTAGAATTATTTCAAATATTGTCATAATTTCATATATTCATGTATTTGACAAATGTTTACTGAGTACCTATTATGTATCAGATACTGACATATCAGGGGATATAACAGTGAACAGAAGAGACTAAAATACATGTCTCAAAGAGCTTTCTCTCCAGTAGAGAGAAAGTAATATTCACAATTATTATCAAAAACCACAAATACTTTGCACCAAATTAATAACATAGTACAATTGGGAATATGAAAAAGTTTTGGAGAGAAGGGGTAAAATTTTAGACAGTGCGGCAAAGTAAGCCTTTACTGGAAAGTGGCCTTTGGAATGAAGATAGGAAGGGAGTGAAGGGAATTAGGGAGTCAGACATGCATTTATCTGAGGAAAGACTTTTCAGGCTGAGTGCATTGCATGTATGTACAATGTCGGGAGAATGCCAGGATGTTCATAAAGCAAGGGGACCATGTGACTAAAGGAGAGAGCAGAGGGGAAGAGTCAAAACAGATGAAGGCAGGGAGATAATGGGGGCACAAACCAAGAGGGGTCTCATACATTACAATAAGTGCATTTGATTTTAACTCTAAGAGAGAAGGAAAGTCGTTAGGGGGAGGAAAGAAAGAAGGAAAGTCGTTAGAGGAGGGAAGTGCTGTAATCTGACTTAAATTAACAGGATCTTTCTGGCTACCATATTGTGGGTAGGAGCAAAAACAGGAATTTAAAGGTGTGCCGTAATAATCCAGGTGAGAAAAATCCAATGGTAGCTTAAATTTGGTTGGTTAGAAGTGATCGAACCCAGAATATATTTTGAAAGTAGTGTGAAGTTAATGCGTTAGGTCTAAGAGAGAAACTGAGAAGAGACAATGATAGCACCAAGATTTTTGAGCTGCAAAACGAAAAGAATGAAATTGTATTGAGTCAGAGAAAACTGAGGAAGGAACTGTTGCAGGTGGGGAATTTTCTCTAGGATTCATTTGTCAGAAGAATAACTTTATTATAATATTTTTCAGAATCTTATTGTTTCTGACGTGTGGGAAGAAAACTTTATACAATAGTATTTAGGCATGATAAAGCTATAATGAATATATAATAATAGTTGCAACTTTGCTTAAAATACTTCAGTATTTCTTCATGGCTGTTAGAATGGTGTGAATTCCACAGAGTATTATAGGACCCTTCATGAGCCCAGCTTATATCAGTTGCATTTTTTATCTATTTCCAGTGACATATATAAATATATTTTTTTCATTATGTCAGCAATCTGTAGTTGAAATTGAGGAGATTGTATCTTACTCATCACATACATTAAAATGATTACATCATATGAGCTGAATAACTCAGAACTAATCAATGCAGTCTCGTTCTCTGAAAAGGTGGGGAGAAATGGAAGGAGAAGGAAAAGAGGGAAGAAAAGAGATGGGAAGAAGGAGAAAAATAAGCTTTGTTTATGGTCATATGCTGCCCACCACAAAAGCTTGCTCAGGAGCTGGACTCTGTACAAATGTGGTCCTGCGGTATAAATCATACATAGACCAGAAAATAAATAACACTACTTATATAACAAGAGATAAGGCATGGGTTTCTTTCATTCATTTTTTTAGTGTCTTTTGGCCTCTTATTCTTTTTTTTAATTATACTTTAAGTTTTAGGGTACGTTCACAATAGCAAAGACTTGGAACCAACCCAAATGTCCAACAATGATAGACTGGATTAAGAAAATGTGGCACATATACACCATGGAATACTATGCAGCCATAAAAAATGATGAGTTCATGTCCTTTGTAGGGACATGGATGAAGCTGGAAACCATCATTCTCAGCAAACTATCGCAAGGACAAAAAACCAAACACCACATGTTCTCACTCATAGGTGGGAATTGAACAATAAGAACACATGGACACAGGAAGGGGAACATCACACACTGGGGCCTGTTGTGGGGTGGAGGGAGGGGGAAGGGACAGCATTAGGAGATATACCTAATGTTAAATGACGAGTTGGTGGGTGCAGCACACCAACATGGCACATTTTGAAACTGAAATCATTTGACTCTGAGCAGGACGTTCGTACTATATGGTGTAAACATCCACCAGAATTTCCTTATACCAGCTTCTCTTGACTCCAAACATATTCATTATGATCACATGTGCCTTACTAAGACTCTACTGCCATCTTATTGCCCCTTGGTGAAGAATCTAAAATATTTACGTTACCAAATCACACTTTCCACCATCTACAAATTTTCCCGCAATCATGCCTGTCAACATGGTATTATTCTTATTTTTTCCCTCCTGCTTATAAACCTCTCCTCCCTGTCTGGGCCTTAGTGTATTCCAGATTCTCTTCAGGTGTCACTTCATTCATGAAGCATCCCCTGAATATTTCTCTTCAATGTCCTGTGGAACAGGTTTAAAAATCTGAATGGTTCCAAGTGTCTTGTCTTATTAATTAGCTTATTTATGGAATACCTTCTATATACAGGCTCTATGCTGATCATTGCAAACAGAAAAAGAGAGGAATAAGTTCTTAAATAAGTTCTTGGTCTAGTATATAAAACGTCTTAATACTTAATTAGAATCAACTGTGATACATACAAACATTGTAATTGCACAAGCTATAGTCATAATACACAGGGGGAAATAATTGTTGGCATTTTGGAAAAAGGAAAGGGAAAAATAGACACCACACATGTGTGCACATATACACATATTTTATTTAAGCAGCAAGATTTCCAAATCAGGAACTCTATGTTTTTCGGAGGAGAGTTTCCCAAGCACCCATATTATCAAAACCATCTCGGGTACTTTATAAAAAAAAAAAAAAAAAAAAAAAAAAAACAGATTAATGGACCTCACTGCTATAAGGTTAGACTCTGTAACTCTGAATTGCTGCCCATAGGATCTATATTTTAAAAGCTCTCCTTTTAATGTCAATGATGAGTTGAGTTTGGTCACCGGAAGAGTCTCAGGCAAATCAGGTCACCCTACTTGTAGGTTGCAGATCGGTGACCCTTAGGTACATGGGGGCACAACTCATTTCTATTGGCCATGAAGGTTTGTGCAAAAATTCAGTTGATCTTCAAATAACACAATTATCAAATCTACTAGTCCCGTTCCCCTAAGTTTAATCAATCCAAGTTTAATCCCTTTAATTTTTATGTTTGAAAACCTGGAAGTGATTGCTTTTGACTGGAGCTTTTTAGGTTCCACGCTTTTCTTTTTGATACTTACTTTATGTGGATCAAATTCATTGAACCTTAGAATATCAGACTAATAACAACATGGAGACTAAATCAATAGCACAACACTAAGGTCATCCTCAACCTGTTACAGTGTTGATTCTACTGCAGGTGTGATGTCCTTGACAGGGAGGTTGATATATGGTTGTGTTGGACTTTGACAGGCTTCTGCTTCTCAGGGCAAAGAGTTTTCAGCAAATGATGGTTTTACCTATTGATGTCCTTTCAATCTTTTACTCTTTCTTGGGAAATATCAGTGTGCTGTGTCCCTAGATTAACAGGATAAATTGATATTAATAACATTTGTTTGAATCTACTTCAAAGTCACATAAACATGAATTTATAGAAATTATAGCCTCCTTCTGTGAAACTCAAAATAGTTTTTAAATAATAATTTTTGTCATAGCCCTTATGACAGAGAGGCTGCAAATAGATATATGTGTATTCCACAATCTGACAGGCACCATCAGGGGTTCAAGTGACTTAGCCTAAACTATTAATCAAAATAATGACTAATGTTTCCTAATAATACCCATGGTTTTCAATAACTTTTAAGATATAAAAGCATTTTCCTTACAGTACAGATATTTAAAATATATGATCATATTTTTGTGTAAATATTTCCTTAATATTGATTCAATATAAACAAATAAGATACATTTTGCTCTGGCAGAATTAAATCAAAATTAGAATGTATCTGTACTTGAAATATTAAAAATATCAAAGAATTACAGTAAAGACATAACAGAACTTAATCTGGCATGTGCTATCAATTTAGTAATTTAAACTGTTCATCCTAAGCATATGCATCTCTCAGAAAATGTATAGTGTTAAAATTCTTGTTAAAATGGCTTGATACCAAAGATAGGAAATTGGGTAAAGATAGTCTCTTTAACAAATGTTGTTGACAAAACTGAACATCCACATGCAAAAAAAAAAAAAGGAAATTGGACTCTTATACTACACATACAAAAATCAATTCAAAATGAATTAAAGTCCCAAATTAAGACCTGAAACTAGAAAACTCCTAGATGAAAACATATGGGAAAACTTTTATGACATTCGTCTTGGCAATAATTTCATGACTCTGACACCTAAAGCACAGACAACATAACCAAAGATAGACAACTGGGAATATATCACACTAAAAAGCTTCTGTACAGCAAAGGAAACAATTAACAAAACGAAAAAAAAAAAAAAAACCTAGAGAATGGGAAAATATTTCCAAATCTTATATCTGATAAGGGATTAATTTCCAAAATATATAAGAAACTCCAACTCACTAACAAAAACAACAATGATAACAGAACTTTATAATAACATCAACAAAAATGAGCTATGGACTTGACCAGACTTTCATCCAAAGAAGACACACAAGGGCCCAAAGGCCTATGAAGATTGCTTAGCGTCACTAGTCATCAGGGAAATGCACATCAAAACCACAATGAGACACCACCTCATTTCTCTCAGGATGGTGATTATGAAAAAAGCAAAAGACATGTGTCTTAATAATGGAATGATTTATGTTCCTTTGGGTATATACCCAGTAATGGGATTGTTGAGTCAAAAGTGTATATTCTTTGCAGCACTATTCACAAAAGCAAAGACCTGGAATCAACCTAAATGCCCATCTGCGATAGACCAGATAAAGAAAATGTGGTACACATACACCAAGGAATACTATGCATCCATAAAAAAGAACAAAATCATACCCTTTTCAGGGATGTGGATGGAGACGTTGGCCATTATCCTTAGCAAATTAACACAGAAATGGAAAACCAAATACCACATGTTCTCACTTATGAATGGGAGTGAAATGATGAAAACACGTGGACACATAGAGGGAAATAACACACACTGGGGCCTTTCAAAAGAGAGTGGAGGGTGGGAGGAGGGAGAGTCAGGGAAAATAACTAATGAGTACCAGGTTTAATACCTGAGTGATGAAATAATCTGTATGACAAACCCCCATGACAAAAGTTTACCTGTGTAACAAACCTACACATGTACCCCTGAACTTAAAATAAAAGTTGAAAAAAATGCAGTAGGCAGCAAGTGTCTGTGAGGATATGGAGCCCATGCATGGTATTGGTAGGAATGCAAAATGGTGCAGCTGCTACGGAAACCGTATTAAGGTTCCTTTAAAAAAAAAAAACCATGATAAAGTAATTCCACCGTGAGCATTTATCCAAAATAATTAAAACCAGGATCTTGAAGAGATATTAGCACTTCCACGTTTATCACAGCAACATTCCCAATACCCAAGGTATGAAAACAACCTAAGTGTTCATTAATGGATGAGCGCACACAGACAGTGGAATACTATCCGGATTTAAAATAAAGAAAATTCTGCAATATGCAATGTGGATGAATCTTGAGGATATTATACTAAATGAAATAAGCCAGTCACAGAAAGACAAATCCTGCATGATTTCTCTGGGAGGAGGTACCTAAAATAGCCAAATCAAAGACCATAATGGTGGTTTCCAGGAGCTGAGGGAAGAGGGATGGTAAGTTATAAATAAACAGGCATGAAATTTCAGTTGTGCAAAATCAGGGAGGTCTGGAGTAACATTGTGCCTGTAGTCAGCACTACTGCATTATATATTTAAACATTTAAGAGGATAGATCTTAAGGGTTCTTACCACAATAAAATAAAATCAAAAAATAAAAATTAAAAAACAAAATGGCTTCCAATGTGTAAATTAAGAAGAAACATAATAAAAATTACAGTTTCAGGTCACATGAATTTACAGTTACACTCTATGGCTTAATTAAAGTCTCAAAATAATAGAAAAGAAAAGAATTATAAGAATACCAGACTCTTATGCAAAACAAAGATGCCATTGGGAGTAGAATAAGTCCTGGTAAACCTACACATTCTGTACACCTGTGAAATTTGGGCTTTCAGACCTTTGGACACACTCGAACTTACACCGTGGCTGAAAAGTCACACTAAGTGCTTACGACCTAAACGACTCCCCTGCCTGTCTCCCTCTCTTCTTCAGGTGGATACATCAACAGAGATACCTATTACTGTTAGAATGATCTCATATGGTTTGGCTGTGTCTCCACCCAAATTTCATCTTGAATTGTAGTTCCCATAATCATGGGAGGGACCCAGTGGGAGGTAATTGAATCACGGGTGCAGTTACCCCAGTGCCGCTGTTCTTGTGATAGTGAGTGAGTTCTTACGAGGTCTGATGGTTTTATAAGAGACTTACACTCAGCACTTCTGCTTGCTGCCACCATGTAAGATGTGCTTTTGCTCCTCCTTCACCTTCTACCATGATTGTGAGGCCTCCCCTCATGTGGAACTGTGAGTCCATTACATCTCTTTCCTTTATAAATGACCCACTATTGGGTGTGCCCTTACAGCAGTGTGAGAATGGAGTAATACAACCTGTTATGATAATTTCTGAGACCAAGTATAACTTAGATGGTACCAAGTAGAAAGAATAGAAGGGGAGGCAGCTCTATTACAAGGAAAACTGATTTCCTCACTCCTCCTACAGGGAAAGTGATTTGGAGACCTGAGCTTCAGGTTTCAACTCTGGAAACATTGTTTACACTGGTGTTTTGTACCTTCAAATTTTCTAAATTATTTATTTGGTAGTGTATCTTGCTATCCATCCAACAGCTCTTGCTAATACCAATCTTTGCATTCTAGAAAACTTGAATGCCACACGCAATAATCCAAACATTATTTTCATTAGGCCACTCTCCTGCTTAAGAAGAGTCAGAAATTTTCTACCAAGTCAATTTCAAAATTATTAGCTATCAGTCACATTTCAGAATCTCCCAACATCAGTCTTCCCTCTAAGCTACACACACAAATACACATACCATGGCCTCAAACTTTTCAACTTGAAATGTTTTACCCCCAATCTCACTGTAGTTCAACACCCATGTTTCCTTTAGGAGGATGTTCCATTTCTTATATAAAGCCTTCTCTGAATGCCACAAGCCCCCTGAAGCCCATTTCTAAATGAATTCTGATCATATGAGGTGGAATATATCATGATCCATTGTTTTCATTTTTAAAATCTATTTGCTATATTTGTTTACCAATATTACCATAAAACCTCTGAATATTGTAAATAGTGCTGCAATAACCGTACATGTGCATGTGTCTTTATAGTAGAATGATTTATAATCCTTTGGGTATATACCCAGTAATGGGATTGCTGGGTCAAATGGTATTTCTGGTTCTAGGTCCTTGAGGAATTGCCACACTGTCTTTCCACAATGGCTGAACTAATTTACACTCCCAGCAGTGTAAAAGCATTCCTATTTCTCCACATCCTTTCCAGCATCTGTTGTTTCCTGACTTTTTAATGATCACAGGGACATGGATGAAGCTGGCAACCATCATTCTCAGCAAACTAACACAGGAACAGAAAACCAAACACCGCGTGTTCTCACTCATAAGTGGGAGTTGGACAATAAGAACACATGGACAGACGGAGGGGAACATCACACAGTAGGGCATGTTGGGGGGTGAGGGTCTAGGGGAGGTATAGCATTAGGAGAAATACCTAATGTAGATGATGGGTTGATGGGTGCAGCCAACCACCGTGACAAGTGTATACCTATGTAACAAACCTGCACGTTCTGCACATGTATCCCAGAATTTAAAGTATTTTTAAAAAATAAACTATGAATAAATCAGTTTTTGTTTTTTTGTGTTACAAAGAGAACTTCGAACAGTTCACGGTAGCTGATATTACAATTCTGTCATCCTACACTTCTCCAAAAAATATTTTGATAACTCCCACTCCCTCAGGAAAGAAGGAAAATTACACTGAATAAAATGCAAGGGCTAATGATTTCATCCTCTACCTCTGTTCCACTCAATTTTTCTCCAAATCCCCTAATCATTGACTTTCCATACTCCCTCCTACCTGAGCTTCTCTGTGACTATGGTAAACTACCCCAAAGATACCTTGAATTGGTGAGCTATCCATTTATCTTTGAGATTTCCCCTGCCTAAACACCTTTTTGCTTTGCTTACTCATATATGTACTAGCTCTTCAGGCCTAAGTTTCAGACACTTAGAAATAACTTCCTCTAGTCCAGATGGCAGGTCCTCTAGTATATACTACTCCCTCCTATGCTACAAGAGTACCCTGTGATGATTCCTATACTGTCAACACTATCTAGTGACTTATCCGTCTCTGAGACTGGTTTGCAATCTTCCTTAGCAAGAACCACATTTTCACTATTGGTCTACTAGAGCCCGGCTCAGCAGGCAAAAGAAACACAACCTGCTTAATATCAACTCCTTCAAGGCACTCTGCTTCTTGTGATAAAGGCCCTGCTTTTCTTGTTCTTTAAATATAGACTCTAATTTCCTATTAACTTTAAAGCCTAATCAACTGAGATCCTAGTTATCTTTCCTCATGGGGGTGAGGATGCCATCCCAAGAAGTAAGGGAAAATACAACTATTCCTTATTTCTATGGGGGAAAAAAGAGAAGAAAAGCAAAATTGTTAGATTTCCAATCAAAATAGTGTTATCATTCATATTTTGTTACTCAGGGAAGAACAACTGTTTTAGGCTGGATATAATTCAGTAAGATGTAGCGGAAAGTGTGCTGTTAAAGGCAAAGGCCTCACTTGCCTGGACAAAGAATTTAGACTTCATCTCAGAAAACTAGGGTGAAAATGTAAAATGCCTAAATAGGTAAGAAGGTGACAGATAAATGAAGTGTGGCTGCATGTGGCCACATTGTCAGAAACACAGTGAGTCACTTGTTGCAGCTGTAATAAACTAAAGAACATATTCACTCCTCAGTTTCCAGTGATTACAGAAGAAAAGTGAGAACTCTGTGTTATTAGACATTCTTATGTTTCAAGAAAACTCAGGGTACTAAATTATCACTCAGAATTGTCCCAGTTTTAATTATTAGCAAGTAATTTAATTTTTAAACTAATTTTATGAGAAGGAAAAATCAGCTCTGTGGATTGCCTTTAGTCAGCAGCCCACATATTTGTAACCCTGATAATTAAAACCAATGAAGACTTCATAATCAGATCTGTGTAATAAAGTCAGGAGTGGACTGCAAAATGAGGTTCATTAGACTATGAATTCCCAAGGAGTGGTTTTTTAATGAATGAATAAATAAGTAAGAATCTAAAGACAGAGACCAGTCTGGAAGTTTGTCTGGAAAGTTTAGTTAAGTAGTTCATCAGGCCTGAACTAAAGGAGAAGCAGTAAAAATTGAGGTTTTAGATATATTTTGAAGTTTATAGTTTAGTTGCTACTTATCAACATGTTGATGAATGACAGAAGGAATATCAGTAAAGAGGGTTTAGGAAACAATGAATTTGTTCACAACTATGCCATCAACTAGCTGTGTGATCTTGTTGATCTCAAGTGGAAAATTAGGGTATTACAGTGAAATGTATCTGAAGAGCTTCTCAAAGCTGAAGCCCTTTCATTCTAGGTTGACATTTTTGGATCTCATGTCAGTCATCTTTAACAACCGCTCTGGTGTGTGATTTCACTCACATGAAGGTCAAGAACAGGCAAAACTAATCTATGGTGCTAGAAAAACAATCCTTACTTATGGGAGGGGGCTGAATGGAAAGGGGAATGAGGGAATGTTCTTGGGTATGGGGTATACCTTGACTGAGGTTTATGTATGTCAAAGTCACTCACCATGGACCTATCCATTTTATATATGTAATTCATCATGTAATTTAAAAAATGTTTTATTGAAAGGTGTTAATATTTTAACTTATACTTTCTCATATTTGGTTGAACATTAGAATCACCTGGAGAGTTTTTCTTAAAAAATTATTTACTTATTTAAATAAAAAAAATTTATTAAGTGCAATATGATGTTTATATATGTATATGTATAGTGCAATGGTTGCATTTGGGTAATTAACATTGCATTATCTGACATAGTTTTATCATTTTTTGTGGCAAGAACATTTAAAATCTACTCAACCATTTTCAAGAATACTACATTATTATTAACTATAGTCATCATGTGGTACAATACATTTCTTGAATTTATTCTTCTTATTTGACTGAAATTTTGTATCCTTTGACCAACATCTCCCCAACTCCCATCCCCTCTTCCCAGCCTTTGGTAATCACCATTCTACTCTCTGCTTCTATAGAGAAGCTTTAAAAGATATCATTAACTTCACTCCAAATTGGAGAAAGTTTGACTTAATACATGTTTAGAGAAAAATCCTAGAAACAAGTCATGTAATTCAACAGCTTATTTATCATAACCTAGATGATTTTTACTTATAGTTATCTCTCTAATCTTCCTGGTATTTTAAGTTAAAGCCTTCCAGCTAAGAGCAACCAACACCATTACAGTTAAAGTCAGACTTATTAAAATGCTTGACAGGGAGAATGCATATCACAGGAAGTAAGGGGGGGTCTCTAAAGGAGAGAGTCAGGGAAGGATACCTTTAGAGTTTAGGGGCCAAAATTACCTGATAAGATGGCCTTAGCAGGGATTGGTCTGAATTTTCAAATAAAGAGGATTTACTGGAACAGTTGTCTTTAGAACACAAGTCTAGATGGTTTCTGCCAGATTAGTTTATTTGTGTTCTTACCTTGGAACATGTAGATCTAAATGAGCTGGTGTTAAAGAGTATATTCTTAGATCATCTGTGATTCTTGTGTGGTTTGCTATAATTTATGTGTTTTACAAGTCTTATTGCAGTCGTTTTATAAATTGTGGTTTCTGTTTCAAATCTCAGCACTCCCCTTATAGCCTAGCTGCCAGCCAGAATGTTTTTTCCTCTATCACATTAAACTAACGGAACACAAACATTTGCCAGAGCTCCCCATCAAAACTGATTTTTAGAAGAACTAAACAAGAAGACAGTAGAAAAAAGAAGCTGGATGTGTTTAATTTCCTTGAACACCCTGCCTGACTTTCCCTGGCTTGCCGACACTTTGTGGTAGACACACTTCACCTCATTTTTAAGGACTTGAGTTTCCTGAAAAAAAATGTTTATTTTCATGGCTAGATTAAAATAATAATTTCTGCCCTGAGGTGACTGGAATTTTCTGTTATATCAATCCCACGGTTAGTTTTTGTTACTAAGAACATTAAATTAACAATATGGGAAATTCAAGAATATTTTGGCAATAAATCATTCAAGAACAGTACATGCAAGGCAGGGCAAATGAGAGGTTTTCTGGTGAAAAGGTTACTTGCAAGATTCCTATTGCCTTTATGACATAATGTGCTTCTTGTCTCCTTGTCTTCTTCAGTGATGAGAAGGAAGCCTCAGCTTGTATGGCTGGCAGTGGGAGAGCAGCATCTTCCCTGGATATATATCTTTTACAAATGCCTATTGCTCTGTGTTTTGCTGTTTAATAACCTCACTCTTAAAGGTCTGACATTTGCAGTAATGAAGCAGAATAACAACAAAAATAGGAAAACATCAGGCCTATGGAAGCCCATGAATGTAAAGAATATTTCTACAGAGGCAAAATGTAGGGGCAGAGACTATCTACAGTTGCCTACTGTCATATGACTCATCTTCATTTAATTGGGGACTTTCTTGAGTCATGTTAATGACTTCAAAATATAATGAAGCTTCTCCAAAGATCTTTGTCCAAAGTAAATTATCTTAGAGTGTTAAATCCATAGACCAGATAGGTCTCTCCTTATTAGACCTCAAGGAGGAAATGTAGGATGAGGTATATTTTATTCAGTAGGGAGAGCAACATACTGTTTAGGAAATCCTTTATGAGACTTGCATTATATTGTGATTTTAGAATACTTCTCTCACCAAAACCCTTGACATGGCAATTACTGGATCAATTGTTTCACTCTCCTGAGAGAATAAATTCTGTATTCATTCCTTAGCTCTGAAGTACAAGGAGGAAGAAGAAAAGCAGGTGGAGGCAGAGGTGACAGACTATTTCTGTTTCAGTATGTTCTGAAAAAATGAGACTAAAAGGATTAATAGTGGAGATATTTTAGAACAATTATGCTTTATAGGTTTCTTAGAGTCAGAAAAATTGCTATCAAAAATAAAAATGATAGAGACAAGTTATCTGCTTGATGGCAATTTGGGGATATAAAGCTTGACAATCAAACACTCCTTAGGTCAAATGAGGATTTGCAAATTATTCACCAATAGGATATGCATAATGAAACACGCATTCTGTAATGACAACATTTCCCCTCAAAAATTTAGTTAACATTTTTCTAACAGTAAGTTAAAAATAAAAGAAACAGAAGTATGCAAGTTCCCTTAATTGGCACTAGCCCTCAAAGAGCAGTACTGCATGCCGTATTGTTTGAGGCATTTTTATGCTATACCAGGAGTATTGGTAATGGCCAGCTTCTAACCAATGGGGGTAGATTTTAATCACTTCCTCTCTTTGGAGTCAATATCTATGCCACATTTTGGGACTCATAGGCCAGAAAAGAAATAAAATGATATGTATGGAAGCCAAGAAATTAGAGGTAGTAACTTCTGCAGTCTTGCATAGCCTTTTTATTGGATCTTCTGAAGAAGACAGGGTCATTGTAATACTTCTTTCTGTTATCAGCCTTTTATGGATTATAATGTAATTCCAGTTTCAGCTTCTGTTATTTCTTGATGTGATGTCTGGCAGAGAATGATACCAGAGTAATCTCCCTTATCTGGGAAGTTTGGGACATGGAGCAGATATCTCTAAACTTGGTTGAAGTTTTCTCCCAAAACTTCACAAGATAGGTAAACTCTCAACAGAACATTGAAACGGACACCATTCTCTGACCCTATATTAAACAATACTGAATCCAATAAAGATAATTTAACTGCTTGCTTCTGGAATATAAGGCCATGAACCAAGTAAACAGCTTAGCTGTCAAGATTAAGACCTTGCTCATGTAATCACTTTAACACTCTTGCCACACTGTGCTCACCAATCCAAAGCTATTAAGTTCTAAACTCTGCCTGGCCTTATCCAGTGCTCTGTCTTGCAAGACGCCTTAAAAATCACTCAGCCCAGAAGCTGCACCTGTGTAAACACCCTCCTCTGACTTCCCTTTTCAAGGCACTCCTTTGTCCAGGTGTGCTCTTCTTTACCATGACAGGCTTAATAAACTCAGTCTTCCCTTATTCAACTATTGCTGTTGTTTTGTTTTTCTTTTAGGAAATTAACAGTCAATACAACAAACATTTCTTGACTTTCATGATTGGTGACTTTGTGGAATATTTTACTCTCAAGCAAGAAAAAGAGAACACGTCTATAATAAAAGGAAATTTTAGGCAAAAATTCAATGCAAAAAGAAAAAAGAGTGTCCCTTTTAAACCAGGAGTTGGAGAGATGATCCCCCTCTTCTTCCTCATCTTATCTAAATCTACAGTTCTTCAGCATCTTGATAGAAATCAGGTTAAAAGAAAACAAACAGCACTGCTCCATAAGATGCACAATTTAGTCCTGTTTTCTTTCCCACCTGCCCATAGTCTATGTATTTTTTTTTTCATGTTTCTACCGTAGCTTTATGTCTCTGGGTAATCATGAATGAATATTTAACCATTTTACCATCATTTGCAGCCTAGCAAAGGTTGAATTCCATTGAACTGGCAGATTGCTTTTTAATTTTCTGCTTGGATGGGTTGGTTTTTTGTCCTGTAGTTTCCAAAATATTTTATGAGTCTTGATGGAGAGGCTAAAATGCTTGCAAATTTTGCTGATCTCTGCCAAAAGCTGATTAACCCTTCCTCATTCTTCAGAAACCCATGTACCAGCAGCTTAAGTGCTGTAAGAAGCATGATATAGCGTTGTGAAAAAGGACTTACACAGGGGTTGCAGAATACTACATCTACACAAGGGATATATACGTTGATAATCATTCTGTGTCGATTTGATACTGGTTTGCTTTTTCTATAGTAAAGGGAAATATTTATGACACTTAGAGATGTGAAATACAAGACAGCTTGAATATCACCATCCCTTAAATGTAGCTGATGATCTGTGAATAATAATTATATGACTTTAAAATGGGCTACGTGTATGAATACAGGTATTTTCATTACCCCCTGTTAATTGTTCTGAATTGGGTGGTTATTTCACTTCAAATGAAAATGACCTAGTACCTTATTTCATGTCACTTGTACAACTGATCAGACTTTTGATAACTTAGATTTTCTACATTTTATAATAAATTTTTATGATAATGTTTAAAATAATTCCAATATCACATCACAGTTTCATATTATCATCAATTTTTTGTCTGCTTTTAAACTTATTCTACCTGTTGTCTTTCCCATCTCGGTGGACAGTGACTTCATTTTTCTAGTTTGTTAGGAGAAAAGCCTTGATTTCTGTTGTCTGCAATGTTGAAGATTGTGTTGTGCTTGCCAAATGCTTGCTCCCTTCTCTGTCAGATAAAGAGACCTGAGAGACCTCCCGTAGGAGAAGTGTTTGTCCCCACCCAGCCACATGGGCTTGGCCACATTGCTTGGGGCAGCAGAATGTAACCAGGTGTGACTTATGCCTTAACTCCACAGGACTTTTAAGAAGATTGCCCACTGTGGCTATGGCACCCCTCCCTGTGCCATGAATAGAGCATTTATGTGATAGAAACTGCTCCTACAGCCTGGATTCTAGGATGCATGGTAAACATGAGCACAAGTCAAGCAGCTCCAGGCTGACCTTCAGGTGAGCAGAGCCAGACCCACAGCTGCTTTATGTAACTTGAGCAAGAAATCAATGCTCATTGTTGTAAATTACTGACATTTGGGGAAAGACTTGAGGTTGTTTGTCATGGCCACATAAATTAAAGTTGATTAATATAGCCCATATCCAAGATACTGGATAATCCTATTAGCTCTTCCTTCCAAACCTTGTAAATATTTCCAAAACCAGATTACTTCTCATCACCTTTGTTGCGATTACTGTGGCATAGGCTACCATGGTCTCTCATATGATTACTCTAATAGCCTCCTAACTGGCTTGGATATTTCTTCCTTTCTTTTCTGACTCACCATCTATTTTCAATATAGTACTAGAATAATCCTTTTCAAATGTAAATCAGATTATGTTATTCCTGTGTTCAAATCCCTTCCATAGCGTCTCACATCAATCACATGACAGCCAAAATTCTTATAAAGACTTACCTAGCCATTGTAGTTTCATTCAATCTACCTACCTCTATGCCTGCTCTCTCCCCAGTGTCATCTGCTGCTAATATCCCCCACGTAACTCAACCCAAGTCTTACTGGCCTGTTATAGCTCAAACCTGGCCAATGAATGCCTACCTCAGGCACTTACTTGCATTTGCTCTTCCAACTCTGCCTGAAATGCTCACTGTCCCAGGGAACAATAAGGCTTAGTTTTTCAGTTGTTTAGTCCTTTATTTAAATACCATCTACTCAGTGACATCTTCCCATACCACCCAACTTAAAATCGCAAGGCCTCCCCACCAGAAGAGCTTCCCACCTCCCTTTCTTGTGTTGTCTCCTTGGCGTTCACCATCTGACGTGACATATTTTACTAATTTACTTTCCTGACTCTACTAGACTGTGACTCGCATGATGACAGGCTCTTTTTACAATTTTACTTTTTTTTAATTGAAGGCTTTAACATTGATACAAACTTAGTAAGTAAATAAGGATGTTGCCAGAATAAAGAAAGAAATTATATGTTTAGGAGATTAAAATGTAGGTATTTTAATGTTTTAAAATAGGCATTAATTTCATTTTTCTCAGATACTTATTTTGAAAACTTTTTTTAATTTAACATTTATAATAATAGACAGTAATTCTGTGTCAGATTTATCTCCTAAATACCTTTTCTCCCTCCAAATAGGACACATTCATAAAGTTGATAGGATACAGATATTGTCATGTATATTTCAGAATCCAACAAAATTTCTTATCTATCAAAACTTACTACTGTATCATTGTTGGCTTGCCTAGCACTATAAATTGTTGATTTTCTCCCCAAATCCATGCCTTAGGTTATGAAACATTAGGGGACTTGTGGTAATAATTTTAACCGTTCAAATATAAATGTCTTTCTACCTTACACAAGATTCACTATTGAAAAACAGCTAATTTCATATTTGGGATTATTTTAATGGTTAAGTTCTAGTATAATTATTTGATTAAAATATGCTTTTGAACTATTTGCAAATACAGAGTTTTCTCAAATTAAAAATATTGATGATTCTCTTTTGCATTTATTAATATTTTGGGGAAATATATTATCTGTGGTACGTTTTCACAATCACAGCGTCTAATGAATGTGACCCTGTGTGTCCTTGACCCTTCACGCAACGTGACTAGAGATGTCTTGGAGTGTTTTATCACACAGCAATAAACAAGTGATACAAGTACATTATTTATTTTTTTCTGCTCTAGATGCATTAGTTTCTTTTCCATAAAGCTACAAATGATGAGTCTTTAAAAATGGTGGTGGGGGGGGAACATGGGGGAGGCAGCAGTGAGCAGTCAACAGTCAGTACTCTGCTTTTCTCATCCCTCCTTACTTCCCTTCCACCTGCTTCTCTGTGTCTCTTATTGCCTCACCCTCCCCCAATGCATCATTAAAAATGTAGAGAAAAGCCTGCCCAAAAACTTTCCTGTTTTTCTTCCTTTGGACTAAAATACTGAATTCTCAAACATAAATCCCCATTTGGAAAGGGTTTCCTTTATTATTATTAATACTCATATTAATGATGTGGAACTAATGCTTACTCTCAGCTGCTCTCTTCTATGTATATAAGTAGTGGCAGATATTGCTTCTAACAAGTGAACAATTGCAGAAAGAAAAACGACTTAGAATGAAAGATACAGATTCCAGTGAATATTGTGTAATTCTGAGTGCAATTTGCTGTCCTTTGCTAAATGTGGTTCAAAAATAACAATCTACCATCAGGTGGCAAAACTTTAAATTGGATTAGGAATCACATGTGTCTGCTTTTTTCTCATTATTGTAGAATGAGGGAGAAAGGAGAAAATAAACGTGGATATTGGATGATTGCATGCTGTTGCAGCACAATACTTACCTTGCTGAAGTTCCTGATGAAGAAAATTCCTTTCATATATTTTCTCTTTTAACCTGAATTTTCATCACATTTCTTTGTAAGCATAATTAAATGCCACCATCAAGGAAACTCCATCCATCTACACTGAATGATCATAAAGTAGGGAATACAGTCAATGTGAGATGAACCGTTTTTTAACACATACTTTTTGGACATAAATACGGGAACAATAGACAATGGGAACTACAAGTGGGGACAGCAAGGGAGGGGGAAAGGGTTAGAAAAGTATCCTTTGGGTACCATACTCACTACCTGGATGAAAGGTTCAATTGTACCCCAAACCTCAGCATCACACGATATACTCTTGTAACAAACATGAATATGTAGCCCTTGTATCTAAAACAAAAGTTGAAAAAAATCACATTGCAACCCATAAATTTATACAATTGTCAATTACAATTAATTTAAAAAATACGAATTAGAAAGTTTAAAGTTTAAATAAACAAATGTTGATTGATTACTTAAAAAGAAGTAAAAATTATTTTAAGAGATTTGAGTGTCATGCCTGTCGTGAAAACCTACCATGACCATGTATATAATATATATATCATATATTATATCATATATAATATATATATCATATATTATATCATATATAATATACATTATATAATATCATATATAATATGCATTATATAATATATAATATATATGATATAATATCATATATAATATACATTATATAATATAATATATAATATATATGATATAATATCATATATATGATATATGATATAATATATATGATATAATATCATATATATGATATATGATATAATATCATATATATGATATATGATATAATATAATATATTATATATGATATAATATAATATATTATATATGATATATATCATATATATATAATATATATATAAAATATACATGTTAGGTAAAGTACATTGTATCATTTTTAAAAATTAAAACTACATTTTATTAGAAAAGATGGACATGGCACGCCTAATTGTGTATGAGCGTGTGTGTACATTAACTATAGAATTTTAGGATGCATGCAAAATATTTCTCTTATATTACATCTCAGCAATTTTATGCCTAATCATTAAGTGATACTATTTTTGTTTATGAGCTATGGAAGAAAACCTTAATTCTAATTGCCTAAAATCATAATGGCAATAAATTGCTCAGCTTGGATTTAGACTCTAGTCCTGAGTGTAAAGCATGCAATAGACAGACAGGAGGTATTGACTTCGTAGGAACTTTAGAAAAGAATTCTACTGGTAATGTCTAAATTGTAGGAAGTTAAGAGTAGGACTGAAAACAATCTTTATTATTACTTTAGATAGCATGTAACTGCATTTTACAACATATGAAGCCCCTTTTCTCAGTGGCCAAGAAAGATTAGAAACCTGTTGTTCTTATTTCCCCGTTAGATTACTGAGCATACAGTTCAGATAAACAAAACTTTTCTACGCATAGGGTCTTTTTATGTGGGTCAGACATATTTCTACAACACTCTTTGACAAATTGCTGGCTGTATACACCGTACATTTGCAATTGATAAACGCAGAGACTGTCAAAAATAAAAGGCACTCATATTGTATCACTGTTATTCCTACGTCAGCCAAACCCACTTTCATGACAGGTGTTCCTAAAGCCTCAGGAGTATGGGAGGTTTCTGTTGCTGTCTTTGGCACTCTGCATATTTTACTTCCTTTCAAAATATTATAAAGAAAATTAACCCAGAATACGAGAAAGTATCCACAGAAAAAAATCAAGTTCAATTTTATTTGTAGGCTTGAATTCTATATTTTTACTCTCACCAGGAAGTCCTTCTTTCCCCCATTTTTCTCCTATACAGACTGTTTTAGTATCAGAAGGCTTTCAAATGCAGCAAGTCAGTCATTTGATTATCCTCTGATAAAATGCAAACTTCCATTATAAATTAACTTATACCATCTAAAATGACAGAGGACTCATTTGTAGAACTTTGTTTTAGGCCTGATTTTCCTAACAAGATTGGAATTTTACATAGACTATTTTTAATTCAATGCTTTTCTAACTTAACTTTAATATTTATGTTACTCTTATGTTATTGCCAATAACATCTAGTATTTTATCTATAATTAATAAATAATTGTTAAGAAATACAGCTTGCAATCTTGGGTTGAAACAGAGTAGAGAGAGAGCAAACAAAACTGAATATTACATGCAAACTTGCCCAACATAAAGCCAAGAAGATGGTCTCCCATCCACTTGGAATCATAACAGCAATGGGATCCAGAGATGGGGTCAGGGACAGGGAAATGACACAGATGGACTGAGAGGACTCTGAAAATGAACTGGAATTATCTTATTTTTATTTCAAGATTGACTCTGGAGCAAGAGTGAATATGAAGAACCATGAACACAAATCTTATCATGTTCCAGCAAAGGGTAGTGTTTATAAGACTGTGTACTTTGCAATAAATTATTGTTCTATCAGGAACAATCACTTTTTCTTTAAGACTCTAGTTCTCCCTTCAGCAATACACAAGTGGACATATTGACTAATGTTAAAATAAAGTTTCTTTACATCTCATAATGTTTATATTTCCAGTGTTTTTCCCTTGGTTGCTTTATCTTCATCTTTTCTATAATATGGTTAACTTTTTGGATAGTCTTTCTAAATTCCCTTATCCACAAATAGACATTAGCCTATAGGTAGATTTATGTGGGCATATACAATGTTTGAGCTTCAAATTTCCCACTTGCATAGACCACCTTTAAAGTCCTGGGTATGAAACTAGGTGTTCACTTGGTCATTTGTTTTTCATAAAATTTTTGCAAAATTTCTAGAAAAGTGCAACTGATTCAGAGGGCTGTATGATTCAGCTTTTTTTTTTTTTTTTTTTTTTTTTTTTGAGACAGGGTCTCCCTCTCCCTCAGTCGCCTAAGCTGGAGTGCAGTGGTGCGATCTCTGCTCACTGCAACCTCTGCCTCCCGGGTTCAAGCAATTCTCCTCCCTCAGCCTCCTGAGTAGCTGGGATTACAGGCACACACCACCATACTTGTCTAATTTATTTTTATTTTTATTTATTTTTATTTTTTAGTAGAGATGGGGTTTCAGCACATTGGTCAGGCTGGTCTCGAACTCCTGACCTTGTGATCCGCCCGCCTCGGCCTCCCAAAGTGCTGGGATTACAGGCCTGATCCACCACGCCTGGCCAATTCTGCTCTTAATTCCCTCTATGACCTTTTCCTTGTGTCAAGTGGTGGTGGAGTGTCTGATAATATTTCTAGAGTCTGAGTAACAAAATGTTAAGTGGGGGTACATTTAGTTTCGGTTAGTAAGAGGAAGTTAAATTGTTTGCAGTTACTTCCATATAGAATTAAGCTATTGTTAGCTATTTTGATATAGAAATGAGTTCCAAATATACGCTTACAGAATGTTGTGCCAACAGACCCCATGTTGTGACATAAGGTTGTGAGGCTAGATGTCATATTCTGAGAGTCATATCACATAAAATTGTGTCCTATACAATAACACTCCAAGTTTCAGAAGAAAGTGGGAAGGAAAGAAAAAAAAGTTAGAAATGTTCAGAGCCTGAAGCTAGTCTGTGGATAAATCTAATAATAAGCTGCATAAAATTATAAGCAGAGAACTTTAGCATCCCCCATCAACACACTTTTCCATATTTTTATAATAATCATGCAATATGGAATTTATTGAAATCCCTGTATTTTGAGAGCATATTCTGTAGAATACTACAATCATAAATTCTGAAGAACCATGCAAAAAAAGCCTAAATTACCTATTTTCTCATTTGAAAATCTTGAGATTTTGTTGTCATGTTAAGAAGGAATCAAAGTATAATTTATTTTCATTTCTCTCCTCATTGTAAATATTCACTTTTTTGAATTGTAAATATTGTATTACTTCTTTAAATTTTAAAAATATTTTTCCCTAGTTCCAGCTCTTTATCGCCAAGATTGTAATTTTTATTTTTCTTTTTTTAATGGAAACTGCCAATACTTTCTCAACATACCTCCCCCTATCTTGTTCAAGTTGATTCCAAGATATTTCATTATTTTTCACTTCAGTAACTAAATAGTGCTCTTTCTGCTTCTTCATACGTACTTTCCCCCATGTGCTCAAGAAGTTTATGTTGTTTAAACAAGCTATAGGGCCGGCATGGTGGCTCATGCCTCTAATCCCAGCACTTTGGGAGGCTGAAGCGGGTGGATCATCTGAGGTCAGGAGTTCGAAACCAGCCTGGCCAACATGGTGAAAACCTGTCTCTACTAAAAATACAAAAATTAGCTGGGCGTGGGGGTGTGTGCCTGTAATCCCGCTACTTGGGAGGCTGAGGCAGGAGAATCACTTGAACCTGGGAGGCGGAGGTTGCAGTCAGCCTTGATCATGCCATTGCACTCCAGCCTGGGCAACTGAGCGAGACTCCGCCTCAATACAAAACAAAACAAAAGCTATAAATTATTAGCATTTTTATAACATTCTAAGCCAATCTATGTCTTCCAGGCATTTACTGATTATCTTAACATGAATATTTAGAAGACCAT
The DNA here is from genome assembly GCF_000001405.40 of Homo sapiens. NCBI lineage: Eukaryota > Metazoa > Chordata > Mammalia > Primates > Hominidae > Homo > Homo sapiens. Next base: position 146,531,450 of record NC_000007.14, on the reverse strand, counting down.
ATATTTCATATATGCTTTGCCTTTGTATAGAACTTCCATAGGTTTCCTTTGGAAGACAGCTTTATTTTTTAACTTTTATTTTAGGTTCAGGGGAACATGTACAGGTTTGTTACATATGTAAATTGTTTGTTCGCAGGGGTTTGGTGTATAGATTATTTTGTCAATCAGGTAATAAGCATAGTCCTAAATAGGTAGTTTTTAAATCCTTATGCTCCTCCCTCCCTCCATCCTCAAGTAGCCCCCAGTCTCTGTCATTCCCTTTTTTGTGCTCATATGTACTCAATGTTTAGCTCCCACTGACAAGTGAGAACATGTGGTATTTGGTTTTGTGTTCCTGTGTCAATTCGCTTAGGACAATGGCCTCTAGCTTGTTGCTCCAAAGGACATGATCATTCCTTTTTGTGAATGCACAGTATTCCACGGTGTATAAAATGTGTACCACATTTTCTTTATCCAGTCCACTGCTGATGGGCATTTAGGTTGATTCCATGTCTTTGCTAGTGTGAATAGTGGTGTGACGCACATATGTGTGCGTGTGCCTTTATGGTAGAATGACTTATATTCCTTTGGGTATACATGCAATAATGGAATTGCTGGATGGAACGGTAATTCTGTTTTGAAATTTTTGAGAAACCGTCAAACTACTTTCTACAGTAGCTGAACTAATTTGCATTCCCACTAGCAGTGTATAAGCATTCCCTTTTCTCTACAACCTCACCAGCATCTGTTATTTTTTGACTTTTTAATAATAGCCATTCTGACTGATGTGAGATGGTATCTCATTGTAGTTTTGATTTGCATTTCTTTAATGATTAGTGATGTTCAGCATTTTTCATTTGCCTTTTGGCCACGTGTATGCCTTCTTTGGAAAATTCTGTTCATGTCTTTTGCCCACTTTTTAATGAGGTTGTTTTTTGCCTGTAAACTTGTTTAAGCCCCTTATAGATTACGGATATTAGACTGCTGTTGGATGCACAGTTTGTAACTATTTTCTCCCATTCTGTAGATTGTCTGTTTACTTTGCTCTTTTTTTTTCCCCTGAATAAAAGATCTTTAGTTTAATTAGGTCCAATTTGTCCATTTTTGTTTTTGCTGTCATTGCTTTTGATGTCACCATCATGAAATCTTTGCCAGGTCCTATGTCCAGAATGGTATCTCCTAGGTTATCTTCCAGGGCTTTTATAGTATTAGATTTTACATTTACATCTTTAATCCATCTTGAGTTGATTTTTTAATAAGGGGAAATGAAAGGGTCTAGTTTCAATTTTCTGCATATGGCTAGCCAGTTATCCCAGCACCATTTATTGAATAGGGAGTCCTTTCCCCATTGCTTATTTTGGAAGACAACTTTCTTTATCTGTCACTTTGCCATATTTTTTAGTACATTATAAAGTTTCCTTTTGTTTTACAAGAGGAATTTCCCCTTTTGCAGAGAAATGCCTTTGTATCTGATTTGTTGTTGTTGTTGTTGTTGTTGTTGTTGTTTTGAGACGGAGTCTCATTCTGTCACCAGGCTAGAGTGCAGTGGCACGATCTCGGCTCACTGCAACCTCTGCCTCCTGGGTTCAAGAAATTCTCCTGCCTCAGCCTCCTGAGTAGCTGGGATTACAGGCACGTGCTACTATGCCCAGCTAGTTTTTGTATTTTTAGTAGAGACGGGGTTTCACCATGTTGGCCAGGATGGTCTCAATCTCTTGATCTCGTGAACTGCCCGCCTCAGACTCCCAAAGTGCTGGGATTACAGACATGAGCCACCGCACCCGGCCCTACATTTTAATATTAGCCAGTTCAGTATGCTGCCTGCTTTCCTGCCCATGTGAGCTTAGCACTGCTTTCCTCTAAACCATTACCACTAAAAGCTAATCCATAAATACAAATGGCATGCCTCATGTATGCATTAGTCACATTTACTTATCTTTCTCCCGATCGCTTGTTTCTGAGCTTTAAGGAAAGGGATCATCAATGTTCTTGAGAATCAGATGAAAGCTCTGAATTATCACCCTAGAGTATCATCTCATACACCAAATATTTTAATCTCAAGAGTATTGACCTCATGTTAGGAACCCCTGCTCTGGACACAGAGACTGAAGTTATATACTGACCATTTTATCTGCTTCACAGAGAGACAAAAAATCATCTCCCAATTTATGTTGAGTAATTTCTTTTCTTCCTTTTACTTTCATATATTTTTTCTTTGTTAACATACAAAAAAATTGAAAACATTTATATTGAACAAATAAACACGAAGTTTCTCATAAGTGGGACCACATGCTATAGACTGTGCTGGTCCATATAAAAAATGCATAAGAAAACAAACAAAAAATATACTTCTAATTTTCTGTGTAAATTTACTTTCATATGTATTTATTTAGTCTATGATTTTAGCATTATCTTTCTTTACAGTGTACACCAAAATGCATTTTGTCCCAGCCCTTTCAAAAATACACAATATCAAGATACTTCCCTTTAATCTTTTCTTAGATTTTTGTGTTTTATTTCACTGAACCTTGCTTCCGCTTTCTTGATATATTATTTATATTTTAACTAAGGCCTTTTCTTCCTTTTCTGTAACTGCAGTGTGATAAAGTCAGCATTCGGTGTAACTGAGCTCATCCTGCATATCACTGTCTCTCTCTCTTTTTTTAATCTTCACCCTCCAGTTCTCATATGTTGACAAGAATGTTCTTATGAAACAATGTGGCTACTCTAAACACCATTGATGACTATGTGGCCAGTCTTATTTCATTTCCTCTCCTACCCACTGACATATAATATCCTCACTAATTTCAACAGCTTCTGTGACAGCCATAGCTTTCTAAGGCTTTGAAGAGTAAAACAATCTCTCTATTCCTGGTTTGTCTAATTTATTGCACTAAGTATAATACAATTATAACTCATCTTAGTCTTTAGGCCTATTTCATTATTTGTTCTTAATATTAAGTGTGAGATTTCCAGGTGCTTGAATATTACTAATGGTAACTTCTGAGCCTATAAATCTCAATTGTATTTGTTGGACTGTATGCTAAATGGTCTTCACGTCTTATTTCATTTAACCTTCATAGCAATCATAGCGACTGTGTTACACTGCTTTGCAGTTGAGAAAACTAACAATATAAAAGAAAGAACAGTGCACAGAACAGGAATTGAACCCAACAGGCTTCCTCCAGAGCTCACATTTTTGCCAAAACTCTCCAACCCATCTTTACAAATTTTACATCAACTTGTCCCATTTATAAGTAATTATTTTTCTGTTCATGTCTTCTCCAGGGTGGATTTCTCTAAGCCACTACCCTACTTTTTCATTTACTCCTTTTAAGAAACCTCAAACCGAGTAAAAAGGACTTTCAGTGCCCTAAGAGAGTTTTTAATGCCCTCTTTGAGAAGACTCTGGTAATTATATCAATAGAAAGAAGACAATAAAATGACAATATTTTTCTTTCTATTTATTCACATTTTATCATTGACTATAGTGGTAGATAAAATTAAAACAAAAGCCGTAAAATGTAATATAAGGAGTTAAATTTCTCTAACGAGGGTTTTGATTAAGAAACTCTGTCCTGGACATTGTCACATTAAATGATTCAGTTTTACTCCTGTGGAAATAAAACTTCCAAATTTCAATTTTAAATGATTTGATAACATTTAAAATAATTGAACATTTTGTTCAAGCATCCCAGCAATAACATTATCCACTTGTCGAATATTGTATTTTTATGATTTAATATTAACATCCAAATAAATAGATGATCAACTTTGAACTATGACTAATTCACTATTTCCTACATGGATTCTGATGCATAGGCTGTCAAGAGATTATTTATTCTTAAAGTAAAATCCATTCCTCAAATGTGACATGCAGAAAATTAATGTGAAATCATCAATTTCCAAGCTCACCTTATTTTTGGTCTATATATACCCTTACAAATACCATCTGTGTAAAGATAAATTCCAGACATATGACATTGAGCCTGATATTCAACTGGTCCCCTTGCCTTGCTGTCTCATGCATAGTAGCTGAAATCCTCTATCTTGCTTTCCTTTGCATTCTCAAAAAATGAGAAAATGCCTAATACAAAACAGGTATTGAATAAAAATTTATCTTTAAATAAAAAACACTGTTTTTGGAGTTCACAATTTAGTGGAATACAAGTAGGTGACTACTGAATACTTACATAAAATCTAAGCTCTCTTCTTGGGGTTCCTTGTGTTATTTTAAGCCATTTAGTTAATATTATTTATTATGTGATTCCAATTGTGGAGCTTTCTAACTTAATAGGGACTGTGTTAGAAATTGGACAAGTAAAATAAAGGCAAATCATTACATATTTTGTAAAGAAGAGGAGGGATTTTTTTTTCTAAAAAAAATGTGAGAGGGATTTTTTATTATAAGACTATCATATCATGGCTAGGCAGGGTGGCCTGTAATCCCAGCACTTTGGGAGGCCGAGGCGGGAGAACTGACTGAGCCTAGGAATTTGAGACCAGCCTGGGCAATATAGTAAAACTTCATCTCTACTAAAGAAAAAGAAATGTAATAAAAAGTTTTAAATCCACTGTATCATGGTCACAACGTAAACTGACATAACTCTTTTATCATGTAGTTTGTGTATATATGTAATGAGTCTTAAAATATTTAAATTTTAATAAACCCAACTTCTGGGAACTTAACTTGAAATATGGCAAAATGTTTGAACAATTCAGCCTACACTGTCTTCTATAGAATTATTTATCAGATCAAACAATTGGAATGAACGAAACAGACAATAGTAGGTGACACAGTTTGAATGTACATCCCCACTCAAATCTCATGTTGAATTGTAATCCTCAGTGTTGGAGGTGGGGCCTGGAGGGAGGTCACTGGATCATGGGGGAGGATTTCTCAGGAATGGTTGAGCACCATCCCCTTGGTGCTGTCCTTGTGACAGTGAGTTCTCACAAGATCTAGTCATTGAAATGTGTGTGGCACGTCCTCACTCTCACTCTTGCTCCTGCTTCTGCCATGTGACACATCTGCCCTTCCTTCACCTTCCACCATAAATGTAAACTTCCTGAGTCCTCCCTAGAAGCCTAGCAGATATCAGCACCACACTTCCTGTAAAGCATGAAGAACTGTGTGCAAATTAAACATTTCCTTATAAATTACTCGATCTTAGGAATTTCCTATAGCAATGCAAGAATGGCCTAATGTACCAGGCAAAAGTTTAAATAAAGTACTGCACATCATCAAATATGTTGTTCATACACATATATGCACATTAGAAAGAGTTACATGCAACCCAAATTTTAGCGATAGTTTTCTTTGAGTAGTGAAGCTGTGGGTCCCTTTATTAACTCCAATTTTTCTGTTTTCCTTTACAGGCTTGGTTTTTTTACCCTAACATATATTTATTTTCAAATCAGAAAAAAAAGCTTCACTCAATTAAATGTTTCATGTCCACTGTCTGTATATGCTCTCTTTGTCTCTTATGAACAACTTCCTCCAGTGTCCTTGTGCGTTATTCTAATCCACTGTGTGGCTCCATTGGCTAACATAAGCAGATACAGCATGGGGACTGGATTTGTGTCACATTTATGACAAACATTATCATGGGTGAGAGCTGCACTGATGAGGTAAGGGAGCTGATATCCCAAGGGGATACAGTTGAAAGCATACTAGCAAGACTACAACCAGTAGTGCCGCAGCTGCCAACTCAGCTCATTCGCAAGCCCATCAATGCCCAGATGCCCAGGAAGCTGCTATGGAAGGCCTCAAAGCAACACCTCTTGGCAAAAACAGTGTCACTGAAGCACATATCTTATTTTACATAATAAGCTCATGCCTACCACAATCAATGAATCAATACATCAAGATGATAGATAGATGATAGATAGAGAGATAGATAGATAGATAGATAGATAGATAGATAGATAGATAGATAAACTGAAAAGACAGAAAATGCAAAGAATAATTTTTGACTCTTTTACTACCATTTCATTACATTTATTTAGTCAAACACTCATTTCCTTTTCTCAATTTGGTATTTCTATTTGATGCAAAGTCATGTTGAATTATGATTAGAAACCCATTTTTAATAGTTATGCCATTTGTGTTTTCCACCAATAATTCTCAGATGTAAATGTGACAACATGAAAATATGTAAGTGGCGTTGTTTCGAAAACAAGTCACTAGAAAAAAACTTCATTTCTTTCTCTGACAATTAGTGCTTTTCAGTTTGGTTAAGTGAGAACCAGGAGCTTTAATCTATACACACAAATAGCCGAGGATTACCAGGGCCCAAACAATTCAATTTTACCAAGTAATAATAAAATTATAATCTACCTAACCATGATCAACTTATTCCGTTTTTTTTTCAGCTAAAACAATAGCTGTGATCCACTGACCTTCTATACTTTTTATTCTAGAAAATAGTTAAAAATTTCAGTTGTTTAAAAGTTACTTTGCTTTTCCCATGAAACTTCACAATTTTATGGCAGGCTCTCATTTTTAGAAACTCCAGGAAAATAGTTTTTAACCCTAGGAAATATAATGAATCTTTCAAATGCTTGCTCAGGTAGCCAGGAGAGCCCTTGCACACTCTCCTTAACTGAAATAATGTTTGTAGAAGAAACGATAATAATATTGTATCAAGAAAGCACTATTTCATGTGATTTGCTATGGTTTACTTTAAAAAGGTGTCATAATTACATACATTTTGCACCTTGTATTTATAATGTTCTTATATCTCCTAAAGAGTCCTATTGTTCAAATAACATGAGATGAGATATAAGCTGACTAGTGACACCCTGAGCTCTCTGCTCCCTTCTAAGGCATTGTGGTGAGAAAACAAGGTGATCCTAGAGAGCAGTCTGGCATGACGACGATAGTATTTTATGTTGAGAAACATAAACTGTTAGGAAACAAACAAATAAAACAGAAGAAAAGATCAGATACAATCGTGGTCAACTGGAACCAAACAACATTTTTTCACTTCTAGGACATGAAAGAAAATGGCAGTGAGTAATGAAGACTCTTCAATATGCTGTCAAGCAACTATGCTACTATCACACAAGGGCACAGACATAGAAAAAAAAATGAAATATGGTCATTATGATTTCTACCCTGAGACTCCTATGAATGAGGAATGATGATCCCCGATGTCTCTCACCCATTTCTAAACTCTCTGGTACGACTTGAGGTAAGATAAAGAGCAGATATTTTACCAGAGATAAGGAAAAATTATGGGATTACAGATTCATAGCAACTTTTTAAGAGCTCTGAATTTTCTTTATGGGCCTCATATGGGCCATCGACATAGTGAGTCTATGTTTCAACTAGGCATTTGACAAACTCGCATGATACTCTTGTGAGCAGAATGGCAAAAAGTTTGGTAGAGTTTTAACAGGTTTAATAGTATGCCCTGGGATATTGATTAATGCTTGATGCCCATCTGGAATTTAGCTTACTGGGAATGTGCCACAGAGTTTTGCTCGGACTTTTCAGATTAGAGTTTTTATCAGCAACTTGAATAAAGGCACAGGAACAAGGAAAATTAAATGTAATAGAAAAAGAAAACAACAAAGTACTATATTTCTATTAGAAAATCAGTTGCACAAATATGAAATCAATTAGACTGGTGGCTGGATAATAACTCAAATTAAAAACAAATAATGTTGGTGATTTAATTGAAAATTATCGGAATTAGCCAATAGTTCGACAGGGTTGCTGTTGAAACTTTAATAATCTGAAGCTTTAACAATAGGCATTCACCATTTAGGTCAAAAGACGTATTAGAAACAATTTGCCTTCCTGACACTATATTTGTATTATTCTATTTACTTTATGAGCATTTTTAAAGAAAGACCTTATTTTTTAAATGGTGCACATCCAAAACTGCACTGATAAAAGGAAATAATAAACCTTATTGTAAAAAAAAATAGATTAAGGAGGTTGGAAAGGTTATTTTGGACATGATATGATTGAGGGTTGGTGGCGGTTAAAATTAGTTTTATTTAAATATTTTAAAGGTTGTCCATGAGAAGGAAATGGACACTCTTTTATACAATAAGGGGATATTGGATCCAGGGAGAAAAATTAAAAGGAGTCATATTTTGTCTTAAAGGAAGATTCTTAAAATTTTTAATCATAAAAGTAGAGTGCTCTCTAGTACCAAAATTTTTAGAAATGAGAATTGGACCGAAATTTTACTGATGATATATAAATGTTTAGCCATCTAAATTTATATCTGGCTATTCTATCTAAGCTATGAGGACAAAAAAGCATAAGAATGAACCAATGGACTTTGGGGACTTGGGGGAAAGCGTGGGAAGGGAGCAAGGGATAAAGGACAACACAGATGGTGCAGTATATACTGCTCAGGTGATGGGTGCGCCAGGATCCCACAAACCACCACTAAAGAACTTACTCATGTAAGCAAATACTACCGGTACCCCAATAAATTATGGAAAAATTTTATAAAATAAAAATAAACACTACAAAATAAAATAATAGATATCATTCTATTATGATTTCTTCCTTGAGATGCCTATGAATGAGGAAAGATGATTCCAAGTATCTCTCACTCATTTCTAAACTGTATAATTTGACTTGAGATAACATAAAGAGCAGATATTTTACCAGAGATAAGAAAAAATTATGGGATTATAATTATAATAGATATTATTTTATTTTTTAAAACATAATAGATATTATTATATATTAATAATAGATATTATTTTGCATAACATTATTTGCTAGCACAAAGTCAGATTGGAAATCTTGAGCTAATTTTCTTTCCTTATATTTTCCTGATACTATAATATCTAAAAATGCTTTCCTGGAATTTCAAACTTTAATTGTGGGTAATATGAAAATCATCATGGCCTTTACCTCAGTATTTCTATATATATTTTTTCATTCTTAGGCTGGACTGCTCAAAAATGGTATTATCTTAGACATAGAAGAGTGCTTTCAAAGAACATTTCTGCTATTTCCTTTGGAGTTGTATGATGTAGTTATCACAAACCCTAGTCCTATGTGCCAAATAATGACACCTGCTGTGGTAATGAAATTTAGAGTTCTGACACATTGCAGTTCACTATTTCTATTTGGAAATGTAAAGCTTGACTTGAGATAACTAAGTTTTAATAAAATTTGATAGTTTTGTCTCCAGCATGACAGAGTGTTTTATGAACGACGGGTGCTTCAATGATCCCTCTGTATGGAAATTCACAATCTCAGACAACATTGTTCTGTGTCATCTCCCAGAAAATAAAACATGGAAACATCAAATACGGCAACTTTATCTACTGCAAGTATCTCATTAAATTGCCTTTTGCTTTTAAGGAAGAATGACGATCTTTAAAGTATGGTGAGAGTCTAGCTATTGAAATTCATCAGAAAATATTAGAAAAAAACAGGGAGTATAGCTCTTTTGTTTTTCAATGTGCTCCATTAAGCAAAATGACTGAGAATTGCATTGATTTACTCTTATTACTAAAAACAGTGAAAGTCATCATTTGTGTGTTTTACAATTACTGAGAATTGCCTGTTACAAAATTATCTGGCACTGAAAAACACTAGGCGGAATTAAAGCCTTTGAATGTATTTTAGATTTTTTTAAATCTAATATTTTTCTTAACCAGCCCAGGATTTGGAAGCAGATGATCAAGGTTCAGATCTTAGATTTGCCACTTCCTATTTAAGAGGTCTGCTTTATCTTTCTAAATCTGGATTTCCAAAGTTTGAAAAATGGTGGATGATTATAAGGATTAGGTTAAATATTTGTTGAATGTAAATGCGAATAATGCTTCAAAAAGGTCTGATAGTTGGGGTGTTCTCTATAGAAATACAAAAATTCTGGTGTTTAACATAGTGACAGAGTGTATTTATTTTATCAGATATTGCCTGTTTTGTATTTGTAGTTTCTTTTTGTAACTTTTCTCACTATTTCAAGCAATTGTAAATGCAGTTCACCTTCTTCCACAGAGATTACTGTAGAGTAATTTAAGGGAAAAAAAAGTAAATTATTCAGTTGATTTTGGAAATTTCTGGTACAAAAAAATCGGCTGAATGATATTTTGTATGCTATACTCAAAGATTATGCTATAAACCATGGTCAGCAAACTATATCCTGCAGACCAAATTCAGACTACCACCTGTTTAGTAAGTAAAGTTTTATGGAAACACAGCCACATTCATTCATTTATGTATTGTGTGTGTCTGCTCTTATGATACATTAGCAGAGTTGAGTAGTTGTGACAGAGACTTTATATCCTAAAGAGCTTAAAATATTTACTCTTTGGTTCTATATAGGAAAGGCTTGGCAACCTCTGTTACAGACCATATTATTTAAGAAGTAATCATTGGGTAAGAGTCTGGTTTGCATTTCTTTCCCTTTGACCCCACCCCCATCTCCACACTTGTTCCTGAACTCTTGTTCCTCTACTAAGAAGAGATGAAGGGTCAGAAAAGTCAAGATTTTTGAAGGATAATTAAAATGCCATATACATTTTGGGGAATATAAGGATGGAAAGTGTTGGAGTCAGAGTTCTATCTGGTACTTTGAAAGCTGGAAACTGCACAAAAACTGCGGAGCTCAGCATTGTCTACTTTTTACATTAATGTAGGAGGGCGCTAGAGTAACACAACTCATTTCTGGAGACATCCAGGATAGAATTTCTTTTTTATTTAAGAAGCGCTTTCCAGATTCCACCAGTTAAGAGTTGGTTGCTTAAGAGTTCATAGTTTGTTAGATTATAAATTTATTCTTTTTGTAATGTACTATATCTTTCTACTTCATTATAAAAAGAAACAATATAATTATAGCTACCAGAGTGGATTGTGGAATTAAAAGGCCATTTCCTCCATTCTGTAAAAAGACGACCTAGGAAGAAGCAGTTGCATTATAGAAATTGTTCAGTATATGTCATCTATAGAGTATCTAGCTTAGGAAATGAACTTAGAGTCCAGAACAGTTTCACCAACCACTTAGAGGATCCTGCATTCATTCAATTTAATTCAGCACACATTTGTTGATTAACTACTATTACTATCTTTCCCCATGGTGATGAGTGTCATTTTTCTCTTCAGAGGTGTATATCTTAATTTGAAATGTTACATTCATATTATCTCAAGATATATATATATATATATATATATGAATATATCTAGATATCTAGATATATATTTTATAATGTATATATAACAATGCCCGAATACTGTAATATTTAAAAAGACAATGAAAATTAGTAGATTTTTTTGCCTAATAAAGTTATTGTCAACTATAATTATTTAATTAGTTAGGATATATCTTTTTTATTCATTAAAGGTTTTGGGTCATTGTAGAAATTGGCAAGAAAAAATATTGTGCTTATGCTTACTTGTGTATCAAGGCTAATTATTGGGGAAAGTGGGTTCGTATTCATTTTATATTCTAAGTCTCTAAGAAAAGAGCTTGTATATTTAATATACTTTATTCATTCATTCTGTATGATTTTTATATAAATTTTAGTTGCTTCAAGTTTTAAGGTTTTTTTTCCCCCATAAAATTCCCTGAATTCCTCAGAGAGGCTACAGAGGTAATGATACAAAATATTAATGAAGACATGTACTGCTATGTTGATACTAATTCATGGGGTTTCATGATTACTGAATTTACAGACCAAAGAACTGATTATATATGCACTATTCAAAAGCCAGCTTCTCAGTTTTCCAGGTATGCTCAGTGAGACGATGCGGTAAATATCCTCCCCTGCGTGTCTGTTTGCTTCTTGGCTTTGATTCCTTGTCTTTACCATATTTCCAGATTTCTCATACATTTCAGTTCACTTCTGAAAGTCAACATCAGACAATCTGCAACAATGAACTACAAAATGGGTTCTCAAAAAGCAAAGAGAACTTTTTAACCTCTTTCTGAGTTATACTGTGAAAAATTGACTGAATGTGAATGCCTCAGTCCAGTACATTCTGTTGTGCTAAGCTGATTTTATGGTTTTACTTTTAGACCACAAAGTAATGGTTATATAGGTAATAGAGCTATTTTAAAATTCAAACTTTGAAATGTAGAACCAAAGATTAGTAGAGTTGAAAAACTCTTGAAGACTTCCCCAACCCATCCTTCCTCCCTCATCTGTTCCCTCTTCTCAAGCCTCAAATGGTTCAGGATTTGCCCTGATTGTAATTCTAATACCAGGATTAGAGGCCCTGGTGATCTTGTTCTCTTGAGAGATACAAATTTCCCTAAACACTTCTCGATAGATCTAGACATTTAGAATTCACAGCAAACTGCCTTATATTATCAATACTCAATATTAATGATGGTCCAACACTGTATAAGACATTACACCAAGCACTCCGGACATGACATAGTCATTTTCCTGAAGGAACACACGCTCGTTTAGAGATGCAGACATGTGAATCCAAAAAAGCATAACAACGATTATTATAAACTGTTTAATGTAGAAAGAAAACCTTCACAGATGTGATACTGACAGATTGAAAGATAATTAGCAACTGTGTGGCCACGAAGTTAAAGAAAGTCATTCCATGCAGAAGGAACAGCATGCAAAAATCACAAAAGCACCAACATGTGGTCTTGTCTTCCCAACTAGATTTTAAAGCCATATTATAAACAAGAATTGTGCAGTGTGTCTTTAACATTACCCACTCTCTTCTACTTGTAACTCAACTCAGTGAATGACTGAGAGTTGATTGAATCCTAACAAGCATATGAGTTGGAATCATTCATTCCATTTGAGTTGCATGCATCTAAGGTTTTATTCCAACTGTATATGATACACTCTGTTTATGCTCCTACTCATGATCAAAATGTTTGAATTTTTAGGGACATAAAAATTTTTTGCTAATATTTTCCTCTCTCAAAAAAAAGTTGTATTAAGAAGTAAGCAATTTCCTCCAAATAAGCATCTGCCAAATTATTTTCTACATGCAGAGCTCATGGAAGATTTAGGTGACTCAGGATAAAGTTTAACATTTTAATGAATAGAATGAAACTTAATAATTAGCATAAAAATGAACAGCCTACTGAAAAATTTACTGGATGCGTAACTTTTTAAGTTGAGCTCTGAATTGCATAGCCAAACTTTATTGGTTTATTTAAGTTATTCTTATTCTTCGGAGTTTAATTTTGAATTAAAACCAAAGAGCTGTTCAATTATCAAATATCATCTGATTCCTACAGGTATTCTTATATTTTTTTCAAGCCTGTTCTACTCAAAACTAAAAACAAAAATCCCATGAAATGATAACGTTCAATTCTATGGTAACTTGAATATATATTGGAACTGCATACAGAATGCTTTTCATATATTATACTAATTCTTACTCAAAAATTAAAACTGAACTGAAATGGGTCATAGTTTAAAAAGCAAGGGTGAATGGAACTATTTATTATTCTTTAGTACAGCCAGGGTACCACCTTATGCGTTTTAAATAGATAGTTACTGGGTAAATGTAAATGAAGACAATTTGGGAAGCAGGAATCTTAATAGTAGATCTCAGAATACACTTGATTGCTTAAATTTGAAAGCGCCTCTTCCAATGTTTAAATAAGTCATGGCGCATTCATATAATGGGCTATTATGCAGCTGCTAAATAGTATCAAAATCATTTTGTATGTCTCCAAAATATCCTAACTCAGGCCAGTTCTCTCCATCTGCATGGCTGCTAACCACCTCTCTGTTGTTTTGTGCTATCAATTGAACTAATTCCAGAGTTCCTGGAGTGGTCTCTGCTTCCATTAATGCCCATCAGACAATCCTTTCTTTACAAACCTGCCAAAGTGATCTTTTAAAATACAAATTAAATTATATCACTCAACTGCCTATATCTCCCGATGGCTTCCAGTTACTTTCAGAATTAAATCCAAACAAGTCCCTGAGTCTCTCCATGATCTGTGCTATGTCAACCTTCTTATCCCATTCACTGTCCATTCCACATTCAAGCCACATCAGACATTTTCTGATGCTAAACTTACCTCCACCTTCCCACTTTATATTTTATTGTGCTAGATTACTCTTCTCCAACATCAATACCTAAGTGTCATTCAAGTTTCAGCTGAAATGTCACTTCTTCAGGGGAGTCTCCTGACAATTAAATCTCATGATCCTCTTCACCAAGTTTTTATTACCTAATAGTGGATTAATTTTAATGCAGTAGTCAACTGTTATCTGTGGGGGATACATACCAAGACCCCCAGTGGATCTGAAACCATGGATAGTAGAGAACCCTATATATACTACGTTCCTTTGATCTGATAACCAAGATGCTTACCAAGTGAAAACAGGCAGGTGGCCTGTACAGTGTGGATACACTGAACAAAGGGATGATTTATGGTCTGTATGGGACAGAGCAAGATGACACCAGAGTTCATCACCGTGCTTAGAGCAGCATAGGATTTAAAACTTATGAATTGTTTTTACTGGAATTTTCCATTTAATATATTTGAACTGCAGTTGGCCATGGGTAACTAAAACTCTGAGAATGAAACCGTGGATAAGGGAGGACTACTGTAATATGTATCAATTTTTGAAGAAGAGGATTAAATTACTGTGCATACAGTTATTTTCACTGCAAGAAAGATTTTGCGAAGGAGTTTCGTTTTGGGGCACTGTTTGAATTTCATTTATAGCCAATAAAATACTGTCAGAAAAGCAAAGAAGCGTGGCAAGGGAAAGGGGGTTCAGGCAACAGAGGGGAGATTCATAAACCTTGTATTTCATCTACATGTTCATAATCTACCCTAATGCATTCAGGAGTGTTTTGGGATTTGGCCAGATGACTTTTTCTCTTCAGGGGTTAGTTGCAGAGTCAAGAGAAATATTAGCTTTAATAGTCGTATAGATTACAGACATAGACTAATAAGGAGATGAACTTATACTCCCTCCTGACATGATGAACTCACTTGCTACATAACTATAACATATGAAAATTCAATACTGCCGCAAAATGCCCATTCCCAGACCATCCTGCTGTAAAACATTCAACTTCCATATGAGGAAAATTTATTTTAAATAACTAAAATAGATTCTTGCATTACCTTTTTCATTTAACAAAAACAGACCATTGGAAGCATTAAAATAGCTGCCAATTTCTAGAGTTATATTCTGGTCTGTAAATGTGTGTACCAATGCATGAATCAGAAAAACATAGATAAATTTCTCTTTCTTACAATGGTTGTACACAATGGTTGGCTCAATCTGGCACCATGTGCTTTTTTCCCCCATTACTGACCATATTGACCATTGCACATTTAATTGCTACCCATGATAGTAAAGAGTCTCTTGAAACTGCTTTGTCTGCGCCTCTAACCAGAACACAGCTACTCTGTCTCATTACTTTTTCTCTCATGTTGAAATTGCAGTGGAAATGAGAGTTGTCATGTATAGATCAATGCATAGAAAAAAAATGTGGTGTTAAGATTATGATGATCTACTTCAGCTATCGTAGAAGGTGATTCAAGCTGTCATTAGTATATTATATACTTACATTTGAATAATAGTTTATATAGTCCCAGTACAGCAATTTTACTGACATATTGAGATAGGAATCTATAATGATTAATGATATGTCAATAAACAGAATTGTCTAAAAGTGATCATAGGATTTCACTCTGGATTTCTTGGACAATGAGCCAGCTACGATTGCCCCCACCTCACACCTCATGATTTGGAGGGAATCAGCTCATACTTAGTTTTCCATAGGACCAGTGGTTTTCTGACAATAAGAACTACAAATTCCCATTGGGGTCAAGGTATTTAGTTATTGGGCATCCAATAAATCTATATTGCCTAGCAGTTAACATTGTCTTTGTTCCTCAATATTCTAGCGTGCTCTTAAGATTCCTTATTAATAGGAAGAGCAACAAAAGTGGGTGATATCACCAAAATGATGGAGCAGCAACAATTTGGCATCACTCTCCTTCACAAAATTAAAACTGAAACAACTGTTTGGCACCAAGACTATCACCAGTAATATCCCAAAACTCAAAACTTAGGCTGTGAAAATCCATAGGGCCACAAACAAATGATAAATTGTGAACAGACACTAAGATAAACACATTTCTGTATGCATGATGCCAAGCACTATGCAGAAAAGTTCCCCTCACACATATGTGTCTCACTGGAAAAATGAGATCAGAGTAGGCAGCCAGCTTCTCTATTATCTTGGATTCCTCTGCAGTAAGTTAATTCTTGTCTTAATGCAAGATGTGTTGGGAAGCATTTTGAAAGCCTGTAGGAGGAAAAAAAGAAAGTAGAGTACAGCTAGAACCAAGAATCAAAGAGGGGCTTGCAACCATAGTGTGAAAAATTTAGAGGCTGTCTCTACAGAAATACTAAAACAGAAAGGCAGTTCAGCAGCACCATACAATGAGAGGCATACTCCATGGATCCTCTTGGCATGAACCCATAGACAGCCTTTTCACATAGCTGGGATATTCCATTTGGGAAACCCATCCCATTAAAGAAAAGCAGCACCCCAAGCTTTTGCAAGAGCCCTGGCAAACCTAGGATTGAGGTGACATGTAATGCTAATAAGAAGGCCACAATCTAAAGTTAAGAGAATTCAACAAGTAAACTATACAGTACACCTCTAAGCAGATATAATCCAGGAAGATCTAACCAAGCCAGAAGGCAAAGACTACAATAAATAACCAATTATTCAATGCAAGAATATAGATGTACATATATAAGAAACAACACAACCGTGGCCACCTCAAATGTACAAAGAAAGAAACTAGTGATTGACCCTAATGAGATGGTATGAGTTGAGTTACTGGAAGAAAAAAAAAACAAAACTCTTTGATGAGCTCCCAGAAAACACAGAAAAGCAATTCAGAAATTTATTACAGAAATTCAACAAATAGATTAAAGTCATTAAAAATATCAAACAGAAATCCTGGAACTAAAGAATACATTGAATTAGATGAAAAATGCATCAGAGAGTCTCAGCAGCAGGACTGATCAACCAGAGGAAAGAATCAGTGAACTAAAAGACAAGCTACTTGAAAATAGAGTCACAGGAGAAAAATAATGGAAAGAAACAAAGAACGCCTATGAGATCTAGAGAATAGCCTTTAAAGAGCAAATGTAAGAGTCATTTTCCTTCAAGAGGGGGTTGAGAGAAAGCAAGGAGAAGAAAGAGTATTCACAGAAATAAAGAAAACTTTGCAAACCCAGAGAAAAATAGATATATCCAGGTACAGAAAGGTCAAGTATCACTAAGTAAATACAACCCAAATGATACTATCCCAGGTCATATAATAGTCAAACAGTGAAATATCAAGGCAAAGAGAGAATCCTAAAGTGGAAAGAGAAAATAACCAAATAATATAAAAAGGAGCTCTGATCAATCTGAAAACAGATTTCTCAGTGAAATCTCAGTGATTCTCAGTGAAAACCAGGCCAGGTGGAATGGAATGATATATAAAAAGTACTGAAGTTAAAAAAAGGATATATAAAAAGTACTGAAGTAAAAAACTTGCTAAACAAAACATACTATACTCAGTAAAAGTATCCTTCAAACCTGAAGGAATGAGGAGCTTTTCCCAGAAAACGGAAGCTGAGGAAATTCACCAAGACCAGACCCTTTCTTAAAAGAAATAATAAAATGAATTTTTCAGTTTAAAAGAAAAAGACACTAATATGCAGTTAAACAACATCTTAATGTATAGACTCACAGATAAAAGTAAGTACACAGACAAATTCAGAATACTCTAACACTGTCATTGCAATGTGAAAACCACTCATATCTATAGTATGAAGACTAAAACACAAATTTTTAAAAATAATAACTATGAGAACTTGTTAAGAGATATAAAAAGATCCAAACTGAGACAACAAAAAGGTCAATATGCTGGGGGGATGAAGTTCAAAGATCGTTTTATAGTTTTCTTTGTTTCTGTATCTTTTCTTTGTTATCAAAGTTAATTGTTGTTTGTTTAAAAGAGCTTTATATAGCTATAAGATTTTTTATAAGCTTCATGGTATAAGAGACACACAAAATAAAAAGCAAGGAATCAAAACATACTACCAGAGAAAAATTACTAAACCCAAACGGAAGATGGTAAGAAGGAAGAAATGCCAAGAGGAGTTACAAAACATCAGAAAACAAATAACCAAATGGCAGTAGTAAGTCCTTACCTATAAAAAGTAACATTGAATGTAAATGGAAAATTCTCCAATTAAAAGATAGAGGGTAGATGAATATATTTTTTAAAAGATCCAATTATATAACTATATACTTCTAACAAGAAACTCACTTCACCTATAAAGACACAAATAGGATAAAAGTGAATAAATGGCAAAAGTTTCCAAGTAAATGGAGACAAACAAACAAAAAGCAGGAATAGCTATACTTATATCAGATAAAAATAGACTTCAAGTAAAAAACTGTAAAAAGACACAAAGAAGATCACTATGTAATTATAAAAGGGTCAATTCAGCAAGAGGATATAACAATTGTAAATATATAGGTAATCAACACAACAGTGCCTCATATTTAAACAAATATTAGTAGATCTAAATGGACATATACACCACAATAAAATAATAGTACAAGACATCAATAACCCCCTACCAGTAATGGACAGATCATCCAGACAGAAAATTAATGAACAAATATTGGAGTTAAACAAAATTATAGAGCAAATGGACCTAAATGACTTTTAAAGAAGATTTTATCCAACGGCTGCATAATACACATTCTTCCCATCAGTACATGGAATACTTTGTAGGGTAGATAATATATTAGGCCACAAAACATGTCTCAATGTCTCAACAAATTTAAAACAGTCAAGTATTAAATATCTTTTCCGACCACAATGGAAAAAATCATAAATCAATAATAAGAAAAACCTTGGAAACTCTACGAATATATGAAAATTAAGCAACATGCTCTTAAATAACCAATGGGCCAATGAAAAAGTTAGGACAATTTGAAAAAAAAAAGAAACAAGAGAAAATGTAAAAACAACATACCAAAACCTATGGGATACAGCAAAAGCAGTACTAAAGGGAAAATTTATAGCAATGAACATCTACATAAAAAAAAGTGGTAAAGCTTCAAATAAGCTGCCTAATGATACATGTAGAGAAACTGGAAAGGCAAGAATAAACCAAACCCAAAATTAGTATGAGGCAAGAAATCATAAAGTTCAGAGAATAAATAAATGAAATCGAGACTAAAAACATACAAAAGATCAACAAAATGAAAAGTTGATTTTTAAAAACAGATAATCAAAATTGACAAAGCTTTAGGTAGACTAAGGAAGAAAAAAAAGAAGACCTAAATAAATAAAATAAAAAATGAAAAAGGAGACATTACAGCTTTGTATTTAATGACATCACAAAATACAAAGGATGATTATAGCATATTATAACAACTATATTCCAACAAATCAGAAAACCTTCAACAAAAAAATTCAAAGAAAAAATTCATAGGTACATACAACTTACCAAGATTGAAATATGAGGAAATAGAACATCTGAACAGACCAATATTGAATAAGGCAGTTGAAGCAGTAATAAAAAGCCTCCCATATAAAAACCCAGGACTTAATGAGAACTGCTGAACTCTACCAAATTTTTAAAGAAGAACCAATAACAATTCTACTCAAACTCTTCAAAAAATATTTAAGAGGATGAAATACTTCCAAACTCATTTTATGAGGCCAGAATTATGCTGATACCAAATCCATGCAAGGACAACACAAAAAAGGAAAGTGCAGGTCAATATTCATAATGAATAAAATGCAAAATTCTCAACAAAATACTAGCAAACATAATTCAATAACATATTAAAAAGATCATTCATCATGATCAAATGAGATTCATCCCAGTGATGCAAAGATGGTTCAACATATTTAAATCTGTAAATGTGATACATCATATTAACAGAATTTTTAAAAAAATGTTTATTTCCATAGATGCTAAAAAAGTATTTGATATAATACACCCTTTCAGGATAAAAGCTCTCAACAATCTTGGTATAGAAGGAACATACTTCAAAACAATAAAGCCTTACGTGACAAACCCATAGCTATTGTCATACTAAATGGAGAAAAATTGAAACCCTTTCCTTTGAGATCTGGAACAACAAGGTTAACCGCTTTCACTACTTTTATTCAACATACTACTAGGTAAGTACTAGCCAGAGCAATTAGGTTTGAGAAAGAAATAAAGATCATCCAAACTGGGAATGAAGAAATCAAAATACTCCTGTTCACAGATGGCACAATCTTATATTAAGAAAAACCTGGCTGGGTGCAGTGGCACATGCCTGTAATCCCAGCACTTTGGGAGGCTGAGGAGGGTGGATCACGAGGTCAGGAGATCAAGACCTTCCTGGCTAACATGGTGAAACCCTGTCTCTACTAAAAAAAATACAAAAATTAGCTGGGCATGGTGATGGGCACCTGTGGTCCCAGCTACTCAGGAGGCTGAGGCAGGAGAATGGTGTGAACCCGGGAGGTGGAGCTTGCAGTGAGCCGAGATCAGGCCACTGCACTCCAGGCTGGGTGACAGAGCGAGACTCCCTCTCAAAAACAAAGAAAAAAGAAAAACCTAAAGACCACCCCAAAACTAGTACAGCTGATAAACAAAATTAGTACAGTTTTATTATACAAAAATTAAATACAAAACTCAGTAGCATTTATGTACACCAACAGCAAACAATCTGAAAAAGAAATCAAGAAAGCAACCCCATTTACAATAGCTACAAGAAAAAAAAAATACCTGGGAATAAATATAAACAAAAAAGTGAAGGATCTCTACAAATAAAATTATACTGACAAAAGAAATTGAAGAACAAACCCCCTAAAATGGAAAGATATCCCATATCTGTGGATTGCAAGAATTAATATTGTTAAAATGATGAAAATATCTAAAATGATCAAGGATGGAATGCAGTCCCTATCAAAATACCAATTACATTCTTCACAGAAATAGAAAAAGCAACCCTAAAATGTACATGGGACCACAAACAATACTGAATAGCCAAAGCAACCATGAGCACAATTGGCAAAGCTGGAAACATCACACTACCTGACCTCAAAGTATACTACAAAGCCCTAGTAATTGTAATGAATATGGCTGTGCTTTAGTCATGAGTAGGCCAAGGCAGACATCCAGTACAGCACGACACAGCAGGTTTGGAGTGCAGGCACACAATCCCATGCACTATATAATCACATTTATGTAGCCATTTAATGTAACCTGTTTGAGTTCATATCTGGCCTTGAACTACTGTTGTCTATGAGAAATATAACTGCACTGCTGACTCTGTAGGAGGGGGAGAGAATAAAGCCATGTCCCAACTGCCTGTGGTCCCTTGAGTGTTTTTCAGCTGCCTGCCACCTGTTCACCAGCTCCCCTCAGACCCCAGCTTAGTCTGGGAACTGGAACTTGACAATTGGTGTAGTCAGCAGGATTCCGAGGTGAGTGAGCCCTTGGCCCCTGATGATCCTAGGTCAGCCGTGTGGCCCCAATATGGGTTATGGTACCCAGTGACAGCCATGCTGCTAAGATGGGCCCTGGTGGAGACATGGGTGGTGGTGGACAGGTCCCCTGTGTGCATGGATAAGGCACTGAAGCACCTGGAAGCACAGAGCACTGAGAAGGAGTGTGCCTTTCCCAGCAGAATTGGATGGGCATTTTTGACTGTGCTATGGGAAGTGCATGCTCAGTCCCTGCAGGATGCAGCACAGGTAAGGGACCTCCAGGCACAAGCAGAGAGCCTGAAGGCCGACGTACACAGGTTGGAGTGAGAATTAGAGGCTGCTATTAGTGTAGGCTTGGGCCTGCCACCCCAGTCAGAGACCCCTGCCCGATCTGACACCGAGGAGGAAGAACCTCTGTTGTGGGCTCCCCCAGTGGCTCATCAGAAAATACACCAGGAAGTCATTGAGGCCCCAGGGGTGGGCTCAGAGACCTCCTACCATGATGGAGCACAAGTCATACACTGCCTATACCCCAACGGAGTTGTGGGAATAAAGTAAACAGTGCTGGCAGCGCTTGGGGGAAATCCTACCCACCTAGATGCTTCGCCTTTGGGATGAGGGAGCCAACAGTATTGTCTGCTCCTCCTCTGAGATGGAAAAGTTGGCCTCCATTATGACTCATCCCTCCCTCCATCAGCAATTGCAGGTGAGCAAGTGGTTAGCACAGGGGCAAGGCAACCACACCATAATTGAATGGCTGATGGAGGCCATGCAAATGGTGTGGGACTATGCCAGAGAAATACCAGAAACTGTGAGTAAATGGCAGTCATAAACAGATGTGGTGCAGGTAATTCAGGAGATGGGTATGCAGCAGGCTATGTTTGATCCGAATACCCGAGGGCCAGATGATGAACACCTTACCTCCCACATGAGGGACCTTGTGTTGTGCTCTGCACCCCTGAGTGCCTTTGGCTCCCTGGCCACTGTCAATCTGTGTGCAGGGTGCTGCATACATGAGGTGACTACTGCCATGGCAGCCCTCGGGGAAGCAGAGGAGTCTATGCCATAAAAAGGGGGAAGGTACTCCTTCTGCAGGGGGCCATCTCATGGGACAAAAGGGCCCCAGTGGTGACTCATACACATATGTGGATTGGTTTGATTTTGGCTGGGGTTGACCGAGAGAAAACTGAGAGGCAACCCAATGAAGTGCTGTTAACTTTGTGGAGGCAATTGTCCCTGAATCACCAATTCCAGAAAATGCCCAACAGCGGGCGGGATGATGCTGCTTGACCATGTCCCACCCAGATGCTCCAGCTCAAGGACTACTTGCAGATGGGTGAAGGTATAGAGCGTTTTGTGTTTGATTAGGAAACTGGTCAAGGTGCCCAGCTTGGGGGGACACCAGACAACAGGAGGCCACATGTGGAATTGGCAGTCCACTGGTCTCCCACCAATGTACAGCAGGTGCTGCTGCTGGTAGACATTGGCACAGATTGTAGCCTCATCTATGGGAACCCGGATAAGTTTCCAGGCAAGGTTGCATACATAGACAGAGGCCAGTCAGTGGGAGTGAAGCCTGCATCTTTGCACCTTGGCCTCAGGCACTTGGCTGCATGCTTATAAACTGTGTATATCTCCTCCATACTTGAATACATTCCAGGGTAGATATTTTTCACAGCTTGGTTTTACAAGCCACGGTCAGAGAATTCAGACTCCAAATACATGTGGTTGAGCCATTATCGGGTGGACATACGTATCACTGGCCCCAGGTCCTGCCACAACCCCGACAGGTTACTTCCACCCATCAATACCACTTTCCAGGTGGCCATATGGCGATAACTGAGACTAGTAAGATGTTAGAGGAGGTGCAGATAGTGCATGGAATGCACAAACCCTACAATTCTCTGGTATGGCCAGTCAGAAAGCCTGACGGAACTTGGAAGATGATGGTGGATGTTCGAGAACTAAATAAAGTAACACCCCCTTCACATGCAGCTGTGCTGTCTATCACGGATTTGATGGATCACTTGATGATGGAATTGGGACAGTACCACTGTGTGATGGACTTGGCCCATACATTCTTCCCAATTGACATCACACCAGAGAGCCAGGAACAGTTTGTCTTCACATGGAAAGGGCGACAATAGACTTTCACGGTGTTGCTGCAGGGCTGTGTGCATAAACCCACCATATGTCATAAAGGGGGTCCACCTTTTCCATTATATGGATGATATTATGTTAACCTCTGATTCTCTTGCAGATTTAGAAATAGCGGCACCCCTCCTACAGCAACATTTGGCAGCATGCAGTTTGGCTGTGAATGAAAACAAGGTCCAAAGGCCTGGATTGTCTGCCAAAGTTTTGGGAGTTATCTGGTTGGGTAAGACGAACGCCATACCAGAGGCCATCATTAATAAAATTCAGGCATATCCCCAGACCACAATAATGAGGCAACTAGAGACTTTTGTGAGCCTCTTGGGATATTGGAAAGCATTTGTGCTCCATTTGGCTCAGAAAACAAAACCATTGTATCAGTTGACAAAAACAGGAATTACTTGGGATTGGGACAATGAGGCTGAGATGGCTTTTCTGGCAGCCAAATGGGCCATACAGCAAGTGCAGGTGCTACAAGTAATTGACCTGGGGCACCCATTTGAACTTGATGTGCATGTGACCACAGAAGGTTTTGGCTGGGGCCTATGGCAGTGCAGAGAGCACTGTAGAACACAAGTAGGCTTTTGGTCCCAACTTTGGAATGGAGGTGAGCTCTGCTATTCATGGATAGAGAAGGAATTAACAACTGTATATGCCACCCTTCAGGCTTGTGAGAGTGTGACAGGAAGGGCTACAGTCATTGTGTGGACAACTTACCCAATAGTTGGGGAGCAAGTATGTTCATGGGTAATGAACCCCAGACTGGGATGGCAGAGATATCCACCTTAGCAAAGTGGGGCTCCTACTTAGAACAGCAGAGTACCCTGAGTACAAGCCCCTTATCAGCAGAATTATAAGAAGTCTTGGGACCTGTAGTCCTGATGCAAGATAAGGCCATGGGTCAGCCTGAGGCGCCCCTAAACACTGAGCCATTACCATTTCAAGAGAGGCACCTCCCATTCCTGATGAGGCATGGTAGACAGGATGGGTCCAGCCAGGGTGCTACTGCTGCCTGGACTGCTGTCATGGTCCAGCCTAGTACTGATACCATATGGTTTAATACCTGGACAAAGTAGTCAATAGGTTGAACTCAGGGCACTGTGGATGGTGATCACTAAGGAGGAGACACCTATGGTAATCTTCACTGGTAGCTGGGCAGTTTATTAAGCCCTAACCTTGTGGTTAACTACCTGAAAGTTACAGAATTAGCTAGTTGGTCACAGGCCCATTTGGGGCCAGGCCATGTGGCCAGACCTATGGGAAATGGGCCATCGAAAGGTTGTAACTATTTATCATGTGTCAGGACATGTGCCTTTCACTGCCCTGGGCAATGATGAGGCAAATGCCTTGGCCAGGTCCGGTGGTTGGAGTCAGCACCTACACGAGATGTAGCTCTATGGCTGCAGCAGAAATTGGGCCACGTCGGGAGTAAACTAATGGAATAGGTCAATAAGTGCTATGGTCTATCTTTGTCTATGTAAGATATCTGGGAGGTCTGCCAGAAATGCCCAGCGTGGACACAGACATACCCCAGACAGAGACAGCTGCCCAATGTTACACAACAAGTGACAGTAGGGTGGATGCTCTTGACTAGATGGCAAATAGACTACATCAGGTCACTGCTGAGGTTGCAGGGGCATATGCATGTGCTGACAGCTGTAGACACGGCCACCAGTCTGCTGTTTGCCTACCCTTGCAGGATGGCCAACCAACAACATACAATTCAGGCCCTGCAACACTTGTGTGCCCTATACAGTCATCCCCTGACTGTTGAATGTGATAGGGGAACACATTTTCCTGGATAGCACGTACAACAGTGGGCACAATGGATGGACATAAAGTGGAGGTTCCATATAACCCACAAACTACTGGTATTATTGAGTGATATAAGGGACTCCTGAAAAATAAGTTACATTTGCATGTTACTCCACCTCTTTGTGGGGCTAGAGTTCAAGGTTGGACCTGGTGCTCCAAAGCTTGAATGAGCGGCCATGAAAAGGCAGCCAGGCCCCAGTAGAGGCACTGCTACACTGTGCCACTGACCCCATCCACTTACAGATGCACACCAAAGATGACTTCCTCCAACCAGGTATGGGGACAATGGTAATCTGTTGTTGCCTGCCCCAATGTCTGTAAAGGCAGGGGAACAAAAAACCTGGCTTTGGCCACAGACCCTCCAAGTCCACCATGACGTATGGTTGGCTATCATAGTCCCTTGCAGGGAGAGCCTATAGTATGATTTACATGTCACTCATTGGGTACTTAATATATGGCCTCTATGATTGACCATTCATAGGGGAATGGCCAGGGAAGGAAGTCTCCAGGGAACATCTGTATTTCCTGTGTGGCCTATTATGAGCTCCCCAGTAACTCTGGCAAGATATAGACCCAAAGGAACCATGGGGTGCTGAAAAGTTGTGGTACCATCACCCAGGGCAGAAGTCCTTTGCAGTTGCATTGTTATCTAGAGATGAAAGCTTGGCCTGTATTTTGCCTGAAGGGCATGATTTACCCCTGTTAGTACCTGTGCCTACTTTGTCATTTAGACCATAGGTTGACATGCTCCAACAGCATTGTGGAATGGTCCCACACCTACGATGAGTTGACCAATGTGTCCAACCGTTGGATCTGCACCACCCTTCAAGCAGCAGCAGGGGATGTCTTGCCCTGGCACATACATCCAGCTTCTGTGGAAAACTGGACATGGATGGACACTAGGAGTTCCATGGCTGACGTTTAGAATGCAACATGGGCAGCTTTGGATAGGGGATGCCACAAAACCCATGGCATGCTTGCTTCCTGGCTGACCTGTAATGTCTGTGATGGATGGGGCTCGTTAGTGGGAGAACACAAGGTGCCCCTAACACAGGTATCATGATGTGTAGAGCAACACTGGGGTAATGTCACCGTGGGGTGGTTGTCTGCCATAGTCTGAACACATATAATATGTTATCACCACACCAAAGGTGTGATGGAATAGGTGACCACATCAAGGCTGGGCCCCAGAGGACTTTGTGCCCCCTGGGAGTTTATGGGACTGTGGAGACACAGTATGGTCATATTTGCCAGCAAACAGGATTGGCCGCTCTACCTGGGGGTGGCCTTATGTGCTTGCCACAGTTATTTCCACATTCCTTAGATGCCCACATAACTGGAAGGTGCTACGTTCCTGGTTTTTGCAAGTGTGATGAGCCCCCTGGTGGCTCTACCTCTTAGCATTAACCATCCCTGGAGCAGGTGTCGTAACTGTAGAAATGCAAGTTATGGCCCTTCCAGAGCATAACACTTGAGACTTGAATTACACCCAAGTTGTCCTCCTTCTGTTGACAGATGATGTTGATCAAACCAGGAAAGTGGTAGTGCAGAACCTGATAGGCCTACATATTGATTGCTGCCCAAGGTGGCATCTGTGCTGTTTTGGGAATGCAATGTTGTACCTTCATCCCTGACAATCAACAAAACATAGCAGCTTTGCAAGGAGTTTCCCAGGAAATCAAGGCAGCTGACAGCCTTACTGATGACCCCCCATAGACATGGTGGGTGTCTCTGGGCTCTGGCCTATGCTGGACCCTAATAATCATGGGCAGCATAGCAGGAATACTAGTAGTGAGTTGTTGCTCCCTGTATTGCTGCTGTGGCCTCTGTGTCCAGGTTTCTGCCCTGTGGGCATGTCTCCCTGCTAGGAGAACTCCCTTAGCCTAGAGGGTGGAGCGTAAGGAAAGTGGCTGTGCTTTGGTCAGGAGAAGGCTGAGGCAGACATCTGGTACAGCATGACACAGTGGGTTTGTAGTGCAGGCGCACAATTCCGCGCACTATGTAATCACATTTGTAGCCATTTAATGTAACCTGTTTGTGTGAGCTCGTATCTGGCTTTGAGCCACTGTTGTCTGTGAGAAATATAACTGCACAGCTGACTCTATAGGAGGGGAAGAGAATAACACCATTTCCCAACTGCCTATGGTCCCTTGAGTGTTCTTTTAGCCACCTGCCACCTGTCCCCTCAGACCCCAGCTCAGGTTGGAACCTGACAGTAATCAAAACAACATAGTACTGGCATAAAAACAAACACACTGGCCAAGGGAACAGAATAGAGAACCCAGAAATAACTCCATGCATTTATAGCCAACTCATTTTTGACAAAGGCACCAAGAACACACATTAGGTAAAGTACAGTCTCTTCAATAAGTGGTGATGGGAAAATTGGATAACCATGTGCAGAAGAAAGAAACTAGACCCATTCTCTCACCATATACAAAAATCAAATATAATGGATTAAAGACTTAAGTGTAAGACCTTACATGTAAGACCTAAAACTCTGAAACTACTAGAAGAAAACACTGAATAAATGTTTCAGGACATTGATCTAATCCAGAGGTATACAATCTTTTGGCTAGGCCACATTGGAAGAATTACCTTGGGCCACACATTGAATACACTAACACTTAAGATAGCTGATGAGCTAAACAAAAATTGCCAATAAATTTCATAATGTTTTAAGAAAGTTTACAAATTTGTACTGGGCCATATTCAAAGCCATCCTGAGCTGCATGTGGCCCATAGGCTGCGGGTTGGACAAGTTTGATCTTGGCAAAGATTTTTTTAGTAAGACCTCAAAAGCACAGATAACAAAAGCAAAAAGAAACAAACAAAAAAATTACATGTTATTGGATCAAATAAAAAAGCTTCTTTACTGCAAAGGAAATAATCAATAAAATTAAATTACGACTTACAGAATGGGAGAAAACATTTGCAAATATCCATCTGACAAAAGATAAATAACCAGAATAAATAAGGAACTCAACTCAATAAAAAAACTCCGATTTTAAAATGAGCAAAAGATCTGACTAGAAATTTCTCAAAAGAAGACATACAAATAGCTAAC
Source organism: Homo sapiens (assembly GCF_000001405.40). Taxonomy (NCBI): domain Eukaryota; kingdom Metazoa; phylum Chordata; class Mammalia; order Primates; family Hominidae; genus Homo; species Homo sapiens. Next base: position 146,502,980 of record NC_000007.14, on the reverse strand, counting down.
AAGTATATGAAAATAATACTCAACCTCACTTATCATCAAAGAATTGCAAATCAAAATCACAATGATGGCAGTTTGAGGCGGCTCTTGCCTGTAATCCCAGCACTTTGGTAGGCTGAGGCAGGCAGATCACTTGAGGTCAGGACTTCAAGACCAGCCTGGCCAACATGACAAAACCTCATTTCTACAAAAAATACAAAAATTAGCCAGCATGTTGGTGCACGCTTGCAGCATGCCTCAGCTATTTGGGAGGCTGAGACATGAGAATTGCTTGAACCTGGGAGGGAGAGGTTGCAGTAAGCCTAGATTGCGCCATTGCACTCCAGCCTGGATGAAAGAGAGGGGCTCTGTTTCAAAACAACAACAACAAAAATCACAATGAAATATCATCTCACTCCACTTAAAATGACTATTATCAAAAAGACAGAAAATAATAAATGTTGGTGAGGATGAAGAGAAGGGCAACACTTGAACACTGCTGATGGGGAGGTAAATTAATAGAGACAGTATGGAAAACAGTATGCACATTTCTCAAAAAACTAATAATGGAACAACAGTATGATCCAGAAATCTCACTAATGGTTCTAAAACCAAAATAAAGGAAATCAGTATATCAAAGAGATACCTGAACTCCTGTGTTCATTGCGGCACTATTCACAATAGCCAAAATATAGAATCAACCTAAATGTACACCAACAGATGAATGGATAAAGAAAATATGACATATATATATATATATATATATATATATATATATATTCATATATATACACACACAATGGAATATTATTTAGCCATAAAAATAACGAAATCCTGTTATTTGCAGCCACTTGGATGGAAATAGACATTATGGTAAATAAAATAGGCCAGGCACATAAAGACAAATAGCACATGTTCTCACTCATATATAATGCTAAAAATATTCACTTCATGTAGTTAGGAGTAGATTGGTGGTCATCAGAGGCTCGGAAGGATAGGGCAAAGAGAGGAATAAAGAGAGGTTGGTTAATGGGTACACAAACAAATACCTCCTTGTTTGTTTCAGCTTCTGGTAGCCCCAGGCATTCCATGGCTTGTTGATGAATAACTCTAATCTCTGCTTCAGGTTAACATGGCCTTCCCTTCTACCCTTGTCTAAGTCTTCTCTTTTGTCTGTTTCAAATCACCCTCTGCCTTTCTCTTATAATGACACTTGTCATTAGATTTAGGATGTACCTTGATAACACAGGATAATCTCATTCATAATCCTTTAATTATATCTGCAAACACTCTTTTATCAAATGCTTCACAGTCACAGGTTCTGGGTGGGCATATATTTTTCAAGGCCACTATCCAACACACTACTTTGACAAAGAGAAAAAGAAAGAATACTCTAATTACTTACGGTTGAAAAGGAGAAATTAACAGCAATATTACTAGATATTACTACCAGGATTTTAATTACAAATAAAAAAGCTTACAAAGGAATAATATAAACAATTCTATGCCTACAAGTGAGATAAACTGGGGAAAATGGGCAAATTCCTAGGAAGACACAAATAACAAAACTGCCTCAAGAAGAAAGGTAAAATTAGCATATATGTAAAACACATAAAGAGATTGGATTAGTAATAAAAAAAAAATTTCCACAACAGAAACTTCAAGCCAAAGTAGATTCACTGGTGAATTCTACCAAATGTTTAAAGAATTAACAGTAATCCTTCGCAAACACTTCCAAAATATAGAATAGAAGGGAACACTTCCCAGTTCATGTCTGAGTCCTATATACCTTCATACCAAAAGTATGTGAAGGCATCACAGAAAAAACTATAAATCAATATTTCTTATTAATATGTATGTAAAAATCCTCAACAAAAATACTAGCAGACTGCATCATCCAAAAATATATACAAAAATTTATACACCAGGACCAAATAAGATTTATCAAGTATGCAAGATTAGTTTAGAATATGAAAATCAATGAATATAGTATATTATATCAATAGAATTAAGAAAAAAATTCCTCAAGACCATCTCAATAGATTGAAAAAAATTTTGGCAAAATCTGGCACCCTTTCATGATAAGTATAGTCAACAAACTAAGAATAGAGGCAAATTGCCTCACCCTAACAAAGGCCAACAATGAACAACTCATAGTTAACACAATAATTAATGGTGAAAAATGAAATGCATTCTTTGAAGATTAGGAACAACACATAAATATCTGTTTAGCCCACTTCTATTCTACACTGTATTGGTGGTTCTGGCCAGATAAAATAGTCTAGAAAATTAAATCAAAGGTACCGAAATTAGAAGGAAGAAACAAAGCCATCCCTTTGAAACCAACCCAACACTCTCACAGACACGTCTTTGGATAAACATAGAAATTGACCCTGTTGGTCTTAAAGCTTGAAACTTACATTTGTTTTATCTGAGTTCCTGCCTCAGAAAAATATCTTCAGGCCTCCCAAAAAGTAGAAAAGAACTGAAACTCACCGGATTATAGCAACCAGACAATGAGACTCCAGGCCCCTCATTTATCAGGATTACTTCTTTACCTCCCCCCAACTAAGTTTCTGTTTTCTCATATATAGTTACATTTCTTCCCTGCTATACAAACTCCTAATTTTTAGTCTATCAGGCAGATGGTTTGAGACTGAACTCCCATCTCCTCGACTGTAGCACCTGATTAAAGCCTTCTTCCTTGGCAATAATCATCATCTCAGTAATTGGCTTTCTGTGCTGCAAGATGCAGGACCTAGCCCGAACCCCTGTGTTGGTAACACCTATTCTCAGATGACATAATCTGTTTTGGTAACACCTATTCTCAGATGACATAATCTGTTTTGGTAACACCTATTCTCAGATGACATAATCTGATATTTAGGAATTCTAAGGAATTCACACAAAAAGATCAAATTAATAAATGAGTTCAGCAAGATGGCAAGATACAACTTCAATATAAAAAAACACTAGCAATAAACAATCTGAAAATAAAATTAATAAAAATTTTTACTTACAATGATATAAAAAAGAAAATATTTAGGAATAAATTACACACACATACACACAAAAGTGTAAGACTTGTACTCTAAAAACTGCAAAATGTTGCTAAAAGAAATTTTTAAAGACCCAAAGAAATGAAAGAATATTCAGTGTTTATGGATTGTAAGAGTTACAGTGTTAAAACAGCAATACTCCTCAAATTGATATACAGCTTCAATACAACACCAGTGGCTATTCTTGCAGAATTAGAAAGCTAATCCTGGAAACGATCATTCTCAGCAAACTAACACAGGAACAGGTAACCAAACACCGCATGTTCTCACTCATAAGTAGGAGTTGAACAATGATAATATATGGGCACAGGGAGGGGAAGATCACACACTAGGGCCTTCGGGGTGTGGGGGGAGGAAGGGGAGGGATAAAAAAAAGAAGCTAATCCTAAAATTCATATAGAATGCAAATGACACAAAATAGTCAAAATGTTGGGGCAAAAAAGTTGTGAAACTCACAGTTTCCAATTTAAAACTTACTACCAAATTACAATAATAAAGACAGTGTGGTGCTGGCTTGGGGATTTGGTTTATAGATTAGTGGAATTATAGATTTGGTTTATAGATTAGTGAAACCCGGTCTGTACTAAAAATACAAAAATCAGCCAGGTGTGGTGGCATGCCTGTTATCCCAGCTACTCAGGAGGCTGAAGCAGGAGAATCGCTTGAACCCAGGATGTGGAGATTGCAGTGAGCCAAGATGGCGCCACTGCACTCCAGCCTGGGCAAGAGAGCAAAACTCTGTCTAAATAAATATATATATTCAGCTAAATAAATTAGACTAAAAGTGATTTCAAATTGCAGCTTGTATATATACAAGTCAGAATGGAACATAATTCATGTCAATAGACAGATCATTGGCAGAGTACAGATAATCTATTTAAGATGCAGTATGAAGAAGTCACAGCCAACAGGAAATTATATGGAAGGCTGAATGTAGAGGACTTGCTTTGAAACAGGTAAGATTTCTCTTCAATGCTATGTGTACTTTTAAAAATGTGACACCATAGATCATACTTCTTGATCTTACACTATGACTGTGTTTGGCTAGATTAACACATTAGTGCTCTTGAGAGAAAATTAGTCTAAGTCTTTTCAGCACCCATGCTTTTGGAAATGTGTTTCTGTGTTACTTTTCCCTCTTTAAATTGATATATGAACCATCTACTGGAGTAAAAATTAGTTCTCCTCTCCAGAAAGTAAGGAACATGACTCAAAGGGCCTTTATCTAAATGAACTCTGAACCGACAGGATTTTTTTTTTTTTTGCAACTTTCTTCCTATACAACTTTGTTTTATTATTTCGTTCACAGTGTATATAAACAAATCAAAGAAAAAGTCAATCTAAAATGCTTAATTTTATTACTGATTGTAAACGGAATTGAAAATGAAAATTTCTAAAGTCCAATTTGATCCAATTCTCTGAGTTTGGGGGGAAAAGCTTATAGAATTTTAAGTAATGTGAATTAAATTGTTTTATCTTAAAACAAGTATTTTTCACAAAATACAACCTGGTTTCAAGCATTGCAATCTATAGTTATTTCTGCTAAAAATGGAGTGCTCTGTAGAACAAAACAAAAATAAATTAGGGCAGGCTTATGGTGGAGGAAATTTTGATGTTTCTCTCTGTGAAGTAATTGAAGATGGCCAAGGAGGCTCCCAAATTCTTCATTACAGTTCCTGAAGGGAAATGAGGATGTGGTCTAGGCAGACTCATGCTATAATTCCTCCTCAGATATCCTTTCCCATCTTTAAATTTCCAAATCCTTCTTCTTTTAGAAGCAGTGTGAATGCCAGTTGCATTGATAGGCTCTCCAAGATCATCTCCAGATGTATTTCCTGCTTCTGAATTCAATTAATGCTTTATCTACACAGACTACATGCCATTTATTACTTTGTACCTTTAACTTCTCTTACTAACTGTGAGTTCCATGTATCTTTTTCTTTATTTCAACTCCAGTACAGTACTTTAGTAAGTAAGTAATCAATTATATATATGTTTATTCTATGTTTATGTATATGTTAGAATATATGTTTATATATGTTTGAATAAACATATATAATTGTATATATGTGTTTATATATAAACCATATATATGATTACTTAAATATATTATATATTAAATTACATACATATAATGTATATATATGTTTATATATGGAAATCATATGTATGATTACTTAAAAGTAAGTAATCATAGATACATGTTAGAATAAATAAAAAAATCATTTAGGGAGAACTTGAGAAATCACATCAAAAAATATTCAATAAGAATCAATTTGACAAGACCTCTTCTTTTAATTCTGACGGATAGAAGAACACTAGAAAGGTAAGAATTTTGTTGGAGAAGAGAAAGTATAGAATGAATATGGATTATGAGGGATTTACTTATGAAGACAAGTTTGGGTGAAGTACACTGTAGACTCAGGAACTAAGAAGCCTGAAGTTGGCTAAAATCATTGAACTCTCCAAAAAAAGAGAAGTGTTGTTTACTGGAAGGAAGAAGCATATTAAAATATGACTTATTTATTAATAAATAGTAAACGGTAAAGTATACATTTCTAATTTGAAAATACATTACCTTCAATTCTTGATAAAAATGATTATACAAACCACAGATATAGATAGATAAACAATGTTTTAATCAGAAAACTAGTAAATGTTTTTCAGAAATGGGAAATTTAAGTGCATTCATACTTTTTCAGTGTTTAAGATTTTTAATCAATAGACACAACTTTAACCCAAATTTAGAAACAGAGGAGATAAAGTACTAAGTCCTGAGACCAGATTCAATAAGTAGAAGTGGTAAGTAGGTGCATGTACAAGAAGAGCAGAGACTGACACGTTGTTCACTCTGAGCCTCAGTTTTCACAATTGTAAAATGAACACAATAAAACAGGGTCATTAAGAAGTGGAAAGGAGATTACATGTACTGTGGACCTTGGTATTCCCTCGAGGTTAATGCCCACTCCACAATTCCAATGGGAAGTTTCTGAATTTCCCCCTTAGTAGGGCCAGTGGCATTAGGTTAACTATAACTCAAGAACTGAGAACACATTAACAGATGCTCTGCAGTTGGATGATTTAAGTCTACAGGATGTGACAAAATTAAAGATAGACTGCTGACTTCCATTTTTGTTATACCTGAATGGCTAATATGCTCATTTGGCTGTTATTCTCAAATATCATCTAATAGTTCTTCAATCCCCATGAAATAAGTGATAAAATCTACAAACAGCCTGGTAGACATGGATTTCGTCTTTGATCTTGATATGGGAAAAAAAAGAAGGCTTTTAGGGGATGAAGTAAGTGAAAATCAGGAAGGCAATAGCTTCCAACCAGTTTGCCAGAGCCTCGGAAAGCAAAACCCTTCTAGAAGATCACAAGGGATATCTTACAATGTTTCACTTCTGACTGGCAGAATTAATTTGTGCTATTTTATTCTAGTTCATTGTAATTTTTATTTTAGTTTCAATTGTTCTCCATTAAAATTCATTGTTTTTAATAGCCATAAACCAGACAGGATTAAATTCAATGTATTTATCATCATTTGCTAAATCGGTGAATGTATCTGAAAAGATCAATTTTATAAACTCAAGGAATTGACGAAGTAAATGGAGGGCTTCTTATGTTTCTAACTTTCCTTTCCTTTAGCATGTTTCCACATGGACATCAGCACATGTCCACGCGTATTGTGGGCTTTTGAGAAAGTCATCACCGCCTGAACTCAGAGCCACATCTAGAGACCATTTAGGCTTAGGAGACTTGATCATCACCCAAGAAGGCTGTATGTTTTCTTCACGTCGCATGGGTTACAAATACACTTGGAGACACATATCAGGGCAGGGAAGAGCTGTGGTGAGGTCCCATTCAACAGAGCATTCACACTTTTTTGCCATCCTCAATCAAGGCACATCTGGGGCTTCTATTTAGACCCAGCAAATATAAGAAGTAGGAAGGAGCCTCACTCCACAATCCGTCCTAATCCAGTACTCACAATTTGGCTGAGTAGATCTTTGCTGCTCATTTTCCTCTTTTTTTGACCTTCTTTTGAAATTCTGGCAAGGTGAATTTTGAGGCCTACCTTTGAAGAAGGTGATTTGGCCTTACCACTTGTACCCATAAGCCTACCTTGTTTAGTCTCCTATGTCTTTATTCTCATGCCTTACCCTTTCTCATTTCTTCACCATCGTCTACACTTCTGCACAAGCATATTCTTAGAATGCAAATAGAAATAACAACAACAACAAAATTTAAGGTTACTATTCAACCTCAAAAAACCAAGCATACATTTATCCCTATGCTATTCTCGTCCTGAAAATACTCACTATACAAAAGTAAATTTAATGCTTATACTGTAGTGCTTTACGAAGGCAAAAAAAAAAAAAAAAAAAAATGACCTGTTAGAGGTGGCAAGAACTTTCCATTTGATTCTGCTTGCCTTCATTATTTTGCAGGGGAGGAAACTGAAAACGAGGAGATGAAAGTGATTCACCTAAGGTCAGAGGGTAACTAATTATCAGAGGCAAGGGCTAGACACAAACAATTCCCCTGACATAATCCAGTTAACTCTCCCCCACATCATGAATTTTTATTGTCTCTATTCTGTGGTCAGCTAGAACAAACCTTAATTCGAAGAAAACACACAAATATGTAATGTATGCTTTACTTACTCGACATGGAAATGAGAAAACAATAAAGGGTTGTTTTGGGAAATCTGTTCTCTCCCTTGGATCCAGATACATGTCAAACATAAGAAAATGCCATTGTAACTAGGGTCCCAGAGGAGCTGACCTGCCTAGCCGGCATCACAGGCTTATCACAGATTTGACAACCTCACTCATCATTTTATCAAGAAATGCTCTATTTCTACATTGCCCAAAGCGCCTCCTTCAATTTAATCACTTATAAAACTCCATGGCTTCTGCTAGAATGGATGATAAATTGATTTTATCCTCTGGTAGTTGGGAATCACTAATCTTGTTTAGCTTTTGCTGTGAGTGTTATATGCAGTTGGTAAATGCCCATGGAAACATAGACTAGATTTGGAACATATTCCTAAATGTGCAGATGCATTGCCTTCATAAGCTAGCTCATCGAATTATTTGTGAAGGGAAAATAAAAACAAATATTAATCAAATTGCCTATGTAGTAAATGTATTTTAAAGCATTCCATCTTTTAAAGGGGGTATACTTAAATATAAAGTGAGAAAAATGCATTGCAGTATAACAGTTGACCAGGAATCCTTTAAGACCCCCACTCAGGTTAATTAGAACATGTGTTTCAGTCAGTATAAATGAATCTATAGCAGTCATACATATATCACACAGTACTATACCCTCCTAACTGTTGGTTATTTGCCTTTCAGATTCAAGTCTCATGCTGTTCTGTAAGCAGGGTATCAATGCTACTTCATTTCATTGAAAAAAATTATAAGTAAACATTTTGTAACAGAATTTTAAAGATAATATTCTTTATGCTTTCAGGGAAACTTTTATTTTTCACTTCTTAAAATATTATTATTCAATATTTTCATAACTTTTAGTATTTTACTACATACAAAGCATTTTTATTTTTATTTATTTATTTATTTTTATTTATTTATTTTTTTTGAGACATAGAGTCTCGCTCTGTGGCCCAGGCTGGAGTGCAGTGGTGCGATCTCTGCTCACTACAAACTCCGCCTCCCGGATTCATGCCATTCTCCTGCCTCAGCCTCCTGAGTAGCTGGGACTACAGGTGCCCGCCACCATGCCCAGCTAATTTTTTGTATTTTTAGTACAGACAGCGTTTCACCGTGTTAGCCAGGATGGTCTCGATCTCCTGACCTTGTGATCCGCCCGCCTCGGCCTCCCAAAAGTACTGGCATTACAGGCGTGAGCCACTGTTTCCGGCCTGCATTTTTATTTTTTAAATTTTTTATTTACTTCAATAGATTTGGGGATACAAATGGTTTTTGGTTACATGGATGAACTGTATAGTGGTGACATCTGAGATATGAGTGCACCTATCACTCAAGCAGGGTACACTGTACTCAATATGTATGGTTATTTTCTCCCTCATACAAAGCATTTTTCTTTTGCAAATAATACCTAATTTAATGTTTCCTCATTCTATATTGAAATGCATGGTGAATTTTGTCAATAAAATTGGGCAGATTTTTTTCAAAAGACTGTATTTTTATCTTATTCTCTTTCCTTTTTCTTAGTAATAAACTTTTAAGTGTCTGTTTTTACCAAGAACACACCCAGAGACAGTGGGTGGCTTGAGATGCTAGATGAGAAAGTGAGGCTCTCTTAACTACCTTTAATAATTCTTGCTCTTTATTGATTTTGTACACCTGGGCTCTTTATTTTCCTTACCTGTCCCAGAAACCTAATTTCTGGGATTAGAAACATGCTGTCTTCTGTTTTCTAGTTCTCTTATTTCACCTCCTCATAGGTTCTTTTTAGATCACTCCAGGAAACATCACCTTAACAACAGAAATGCAAACATAACCTTTTTCAAAATCTATCAAATTTTGTTTTCAAAATTTTTAAAGTGATTCAAGACACAAACATGACTCCAAAACAATCTACTTATTTTAGAGATTCACCACTATTAACCTTCTGCGCTATAGAATTTTTCATTTTCTAGATTTTTTTGAAGCCATGCTATTCAGGAAGAGCAAAAATGGGACACTTGTCAGGGATAGATTTGACATCATTGAACAGAACCTACAGAGCTTTATTCTGTTGCTAAAATCAATTTTGACTTAATACTTGTGGATAAACGGAGGTATATAAATAAAAAGAAAATGTCATGTTCAATACTGATCTCAAACTGAGTTCATGTCAAGGAAAGTAAGTTAGAAAGCGTGTGCTTCCTTTTACTACTTTATTTCCAAGGGTTATTATTTAGATATGTCTGCCTGGATTATAGACTTATCCTTAAATTGCGCTTAGATTACTCAAGTATTCATTACATCACAAATCTCATCTTGTTTGGTGTTGTTTACTCAGAAGAAATAAAGACCTAGTAAATATTTGTAGACTACTTCAAATAAAAATTCAGAAAATATTTAATAATATTTTATTGCATTCAGGATTTTTGTTAAATGAGTAGATTTTAGCTGCTTTTGCCACAAAAGGAAAAAATGTTTAAGATGATGGATATTTTAATTTGCTCCCCTATAATATACACTTTACTGTATATGCATATCATATAACATCATGTTGTATAGCTTCAATATACACAACACAGTTTATTTAAAAACAGATAAAGCAACTGAGAAACCAAAGCAAGATGAAAGAAGCATGAACCTTAGTTCACACTTATCTCTGTGCAGAGATGAAGCCTGAATTTTGTATACATTCATCTGTCTTAGAGTTGCGTACAAGTTGCTTTTAGAATTCTGCCAAAGGAGTTGGTTTGACACCTGCTTAAGAAGATATGAAAAGATTTACAAATTGATGTTTAGAATAACAACTCCAAGGAAGAACCAAGGAACTAAGATGAAACTCCAAATGTTTAAAACGTGGATTGATTTGTGATGCCTAACCTCAATAAAATAGTTTCCCAAAGACATTTTTATGAGCAAGATGAACATGAGGAAGGGCACAGTATTTGCCAAGTGAATGTTGGCTTGTCAAATTCTATTTTTACATTGTGGAAATCGTATTAGTTACTCATGCTTTCTCTCTCTCTCTGTCTCTCTCTCTCTCTCTCCCCCTCTCTCTCCTCCTGCCCCCCTCTTCTCTCAACCTTTTATATGTATTTGGTCTTAGCAAACATTTCCATTTGGCAGTGCACCATTGTGTGCACAAGGATGAAAACTCGCAAAATAAGTTTTGTTTGTTTGTTTGTTTTTACTCACGTTCCAATCACCATCTTTCTAGAGACATTGCGTTTCTTAATTATAGAAAATCAGAGCAGTTTTACCATCTTGGAATCCAGAAAATAAAACAAGACAATAGGCTTCTCTTATTTTTCCAACAGTCACAACCATTTTTGCATCCTCATATCTTTAGATCAAGGATACAGAGTTTCAGGGAGGTATCACTTTCTGCAGGCTTATATAGAAATTCTCACAAGCAGACACATAATAGAAGATGAATTACCTTTTTCTGGAAATTGTGAGAAATTTTGTTTCACAAAGTAGGCAGAGGATGACCCCACAATTTCTAATTCAAAATCAAAAATCAATATTTTCTTTACTTCTTTTGTATCCACAGATATGAGACATTAGTTTCATCTCAGCTTCTGAATCCATAGAAGATTCACTAACAGCACTGGGTTTGTAAGAGAGTAGGAATGCTCTGATGGGTGCCTGGCATCCTCTCTAAAAACGCTCTCCAATTACCGAAGTGACAAAGCCTTTCGTGTGCATCCTTCATGTGAGTCACCATTGTACCCTTTGGGGAGTTAATCTTTGGGGAGTCAGTCTCTTGACACTGCAGCTCAGATAATAATTCCAAAACGCCCTAATCTGAGTTGCAAAAGTCCCCATAAGAAAAAAAAATACAATATATTAAAGGCAATAAAACTTACTTTCTGATTTTCCCTTACTTTGGGATCATGTTGTTTTTTTTTTGTTAAAAAGAAGAAAAACATGATGATACACTTCCCATGAGCATTGTTATGTTATTATACCAGAGAAGTGAGCAGAACCCAACCCTCCAAAGCTCACACGGGTGTGGGATAAAAGGGGCAATACAAGATTCCATTCTGTGATGAAATTCTATGCTCTGAATGCCACTGAAGTGTTCTTGTAGCTAGAATGATTTAGTTGTACATGGAAACTTTATTTTCATATAACAGCCTTATAATTTCTCATCTTTGGGTTTTTTGTTTGCTTGTTGTTTTGTTTTTTTTGGGGGGGCTTTGCAAAAATCTTTATGCCTTTTTCATATAATATGCACTCTAGAAAGAATATAATTTTTTAAAAGATTGAGAGAAATAAAAAGCATATTTATAGATAAATATCTACAAATACATATAGCATATTTTTCCATTGGTATAATTACATAATTGGCTTAGATTTTAGACAGTAAAGTCACCATTACAAAGTGAGAAAAAATTATCTGCTTCGCCATTTATCAGTACTACATTCCCATGATAGATATAGAATCTTATTGCTCATTGAAAATCTTCATTTTAAAGTGGATACTGAGGTCTAGTAAGGTGAATAAACTACTTAAAATTCCAGTGTTACTTTGGGAATTTAAAGATAATTTAAAGAGAACTCTAAAAATATGAACTTATTTTTACCTAATCAATTATGTATTAACAAATATATACGATATTTTAAGTGCAGATACACCTTTATCTTAGTATTTTCCCATTGGGTACTACAGAACCTTACATATAGCAGGTACTCCATAAATAAAATGTTAAATTGAATTCTACACTTAAATGTCTTACTGTTTTTTGTTCATACCTGTTTCACTCAACAAACATTTATCAGCCTTTACTCAAAAGTTATGTCGCGGGAAAACATGTTTAGACCATTTTATCCAAACCCACAGTCTTTACACTTTGTGTTTCCATTCTGTGATTGTTTTTTATTTTACAACTTACCAATACTTAGCATAGTATACATTTTTCTAATTTATCTTGTATATTGCCTTTTTCTTCCTTTGGAATATAAGCTTCATGAGGATAGACAGGTTTATATTATTCACTGCCATATTTTTTCCTAGTGATTAAAACAGTGTCTGAGATATATAAAATATAGTAGCTGTTCAATAAATATTTGTTGAGTTAAAAAAACAACAAATGATTATTGAAACTTGTGAGGTGTTGATAGTGGCAGGAGGCAGACAAATGCCTAGGCAGGTAGGGGCAGGTCCCCAGTGAAATCCCCCCTCCAAACCAAAGGCAGTTTAAAGCCTGAAAGCCAAGCTACAAGTCAAATCTATGGACTGGATTGAGAACCTGTCTTCCCATTTGATGCGCTTTCTTCTGATTGATCCCTACCCATCACTGATTTTACATATACCTACCTTTCCCTAATTTGTTTTTTATACTGTCATGCCCACCTTTAAGTGGTGCTTTTGTTTTAACCTTTTTTGCATACTCAAACCAGTCAGCACACTCCCCTATTCTGAGCCCATAGAAGTCCTGAACTCAGCCACACTGAGAAAGAAACCACCCGACTTCAGGGGTTGGAGACCACCCCCACGTGCCTTCTCTGCTGAGAGCTATTCCCTTGCTCAATAAAATTCCTCTCCACCCATCTTCACCCTTCGAATTGTCAGCATATCCTCATTCTTCTTGGATGGGGGACAAGAGCTTGGGAATCGCCGAACATGGGTACAAGCTGTAGCACACGCAGGCCAAGTGGGCAGGGCACCTCCAATGACAGTTCCAAGGCCAACTGTGGCCCTGGTAGCAGGTGGGGGTGTGTGTGTCACTGGCCGTGGAGGTCCCCAGTTGGCAAATTGGCTGAGAAAACTCCTGCATCAGTGTTACACAGAGTTCTGATGTAAGGATAATGTAAAACTTAGTTATATTTTATAGCCTTTCTCATGAACCATACACATTATTATTACTACTAAAAGAGCAGTAAGAGAAAGGTTCGGTTTTCAATTAGACAAGTTAAAAACTAAATTAGCTTTTTGCAATGCTCTTTATATATTTCTACTTGATTTCCTACTCATTTTCAATATAATCTTTTAATATAATCAAAGGAGACTGAGGATCATGAAGGCAATAGTGAGATGTTAAGGAGTTTTCAGTAACTTTTAAAAATTGATACATTATATTTGTACATATTTATAGGGTACATGTGAAAAAAGGTTTAACCTAAGAATTATTCAAGGAAGGAACTGTTGTTGGGTGATAGTAATTAAAATGCAGACTTGGGAAATGGCCCCAAACTGCTGAAAAATGGGTGGTAACTTTAGCGATTTCAAATAGGTGTGGCTTCAGTCTTTTCTGCTGTGCCAGTGCACAGCTGTTCAAATTGAAATCTCTGTTTCCATGTCCCTAATAAGATTTCCCTTGAGAAAACACTACTGTCTCTAAAAGCTCAAAAACTTCTGTTGTGCCCTAGCGTGGTGGCCCACACCCGTAATCCCAACAGTTTGGTAGGCCAAGGAGGAGGATTGCTTGAGCCCAGGAGTTTGAGGCTAGCCTGGGCAACGTGGAGAAACCCCGTCTCCACAAAAAACTAGCCAGGCGTGGTGGCACGTGCCTGAAATCCCAGCTACTTGGGCAGGTGAGGTGGGAAGATCACCTGAGCCTGGGAGGTCGAAGCTGCAAGTGAGCCAAAATCATGGCACTGTACACCAGCACAAAAAACAGAGTGAGACCCTGTCTCAAAAACAAACAAAACAAAACAAAAAACAGAAACAAACAAAACTTCTGTTTTAAGAGCGTTTCATTAGGCAGCAGTGAATGGTTGAATGAAGAGAAGGAAGGTAGGAGGAGCAGGTGAGAAGCTTTTGTGGTAGCGTAGTCCTAACAAAATAGAGAGTTTGGTTTTAAAATGACTATGCATTCCAGGTATACCTACAGAGTCCTGATTTCACACAGTTTTTTTCAATAAATGAAATTTATGACATAGCTAAATAAATCTGATATAATTAATATCTACTTATAACTCTTGAATAATAAATACACACATTAAAGCAAGAGGAAGGAAGGAAGGAAGGGAGGGAGGAAGGGAGGGAGGGAGGGAGGGAGGGAGGAGGGGAGGGGAGGGGAGGGGAGGAAGGGAGGAAAGAAAGAAAGCCTGAAGGGATGGAGGGTTTGTAGCAGTGGAAATTCCTCACGTGCGTAAGACTAAAGAAAGAAAAGAGCAAGCCGCGTGTCTGACTAGATGTGGTGATACAATTTGACGGAAAAAATTCAAGGTATGATCCAAATGTTTAAAATTAACGGATTCAAAAATTTGAAACAAAGCAAGACCTCTGAAGAGTGGGCTAAATCTAGAGAAATGATATTTGGTTTTAGCCATTAGTCTTTTTTTCTTTTCTTAACACTTCTCAGACTTGTTGAAAAATCTCTGAACATTGACCCGCAGTTCTATTAACCTTTAATGTCCCTTACAGATCGGTTTGGGTCTCTCTCTGTCTCTCCACACCTCCATTTTAAACAGGGCTGACTCTAAGCAAGATTGTAAATGAAGCACGTGGAGCTGGGCTCTTGCCTGCTTTTCCTTATTTCCGTCTCACTGCGCTTCTTTAAGTACCAAGTGCCCATGATCTGAACACCATTCACTCATTACCTGTGTTAGTACAGTATCTGTACTTGAGGATGCTGCGTAAGCCTCTCTTCCCCAGACTTTATGGCAATCATATATTCTGAATTTTTTAGAACATTCTGAATGTCAACTATCTCATGTTCATTTTCTTTTCTCAGTTTGCTGTGGGGAAAATTGATCACCAAGTCCCTCCTCTGCCCTCACTTTTGACTCTCAAATGTAACTTACCTAAACTGTTTGTTAAAGAAATTAAAGATATTAGCATTAAGTTGTAGATCAGTCTAGGAAGAGATAAGCATAGCTTCCTTAGGAGGACATTGCACTTTGCCATTTTAAAAGAAGAGTTTGTCAACTACGAGACATATGTTTGCAATGATTTCATTTCTTAGCGTTTTTATTTCTTGGGTACCTTCAGGAATCTTTTAAATGTCTCCATTAACTAACCTATTTACAAATAAATCCAGACATGCTTGTCAGAATCAACTGGGCATTAGTATAACATTCCTAATAAAATTAAGTACCAATCATTGTTTGGCACTGAAACAACTTAGAATTTGCATTCTAGTCTATCATAATCCGTTTTTGTTATCTTTTAATATGGAAAAAATGAATCAATGACTTATTTCAATGAGATCATGACTTATACGTATTAAGATTTAATTGAAGAGAATGTGGGTCCTAGCGAATCTCATTCTCTAAAGAAAACTATTATTCTAGGTTTAGAAATGTCATTTTGGCAATTCATGCATAAGAGAGAAATCTCCAGACCTCTTCATTTTCATATGCAATAAAATTGTGTTAAATTCAAGTCACAGAGTGAAGTTACAGTACAGCTGGAAAAGATGCAATGTTTTCTTAGAGAAAACACTTGGCATCTAGGTGAGGGGAATACATAGAAGAGTAATACTTAGGGAGCCAAGAACAGATGTGAAAAAATGAGACAGGAACCTTTCGATTCTTTCAGGCTTGAGGCAAAGTACCATCTGTCAAGCACCTCTCTTGGCTCTCCCAAAAGAATATGCCTCCAGCTCTCCAGATTGTCCTGGCAATTAAACTTGCTCCCAGATCTGTCACATTTATCATCGTAAAGTTCCGAAAACAGACTTCCATGGGCACTCTGATTTTCTATGATATCTGTTATTTCATGACTGGCCAATAGCCTGATGGTGACTTACCCAATCCACCCAGAGTTTCTCCTAATGAAGTTAATGCTGTAGCAGCCAGAACCAATCCCACCCTAATCCCTTCTTCCAGACTCTAGAACCTATAAGAAGAGATGGAAGGCACCTGTGTCTCAGATAACTTTTTATTTTTTTGCTTTAAAACAACCCTAGCATGATTATCTCTACATTTCTTAGAGCAAAGCAGATTTTTATCTTGTTTAAGACTGCTGTGGTGGCTGGGCGCTGTTGCTCACGCCTGTAATCCCAGCACTTTGGGAGGCCGAGGCAGGCGGATCACGAGGTCAGGAGATCGAGACCATCCTGGCTAACACGGTGAAACCCCGTCTCTACTAAAAATACAAAAAATTAGCCGGGCGCGGTGGCGGGTGCCTGTAGTCCCAGCTACTCGGGAGGCTGAGGCAGGAGAATAGAGTGAACCTGGGAGGCGGAGTTTGCAGTGAGCTGAGATCGTGCCACTGCACTCCAGCCTGGGCGACACAGCGAAACTCTGTCTCAAAAAAAAAAAAAAAAAAAAAAAAAAAAAAAAAAAAGACTGCTGTGGGTTGGGTACATTTTTGGTTTCCTTGTAATGAATGTACTACTAACTGATACAAAGAAAAACATGCAATCTTACATTTGAAAGGCATATTTTTATGAAGATTAAAATCTATTTAACTTGTATAGACAGATTAAATTGTATAGACAGATTCTATATCAATTTTTAATTTTTTAACTTTTATTTTAAGTTTGGGGTACGTGTGCAGGTTTGTTAATAGGTAATTTGTGTCATGGGTTTTTTTTGTACAGATTATTTCATCACTCTGTTATTATTTAAGGAAGCTCCATGGCAGGAGGGTGAGGTAGGAGGATCACCTGAACCTGTCGAGGTGGAGGCTGCAGTGAGCCAAGATCGCACCACTGCACTCCAGCTTGGATGGCAGAGCGAGACCCTGTCTCAAAATAAAAGCTTCATGGGATTATCTTTTCTCTATATTCTGAAAAGTTATCTGGGAATTGCATCTTTCAAAAAAGTAAGCATTCCATCATGACAGGAAATATGAAGGAAAGAGCATGTGTTCAGAAATCAGACCCATCTGGGTCAAATCCAATTCTACCACTTACCACTGGTAGGTGTATCACATAAGAAATTTTGCTATACCTCTGAGCTGACTTTCCTCATCTCTCAATTGGTATCATTATTCAAATTTCTTAGAATTGCTGTGGACATTCATTGGGATAGAATAAGTACACAGGACATAGCACAGGTGACTAATGCATCTTACATCCTCCCTCCCAGCCTGCCTGTCTGCCGTGGCATCACCTTATAAATAAGTGGTTAATAAAGGCTGCTTGATGATGGTGATTTTTTTCCACTCTCTGTTTTATTTTTTTAAACATTGTCACAGTGTACTTTCCAACATTGCAAAAAAAAAATAGCAATTAGCAGTTACTTTCCCATTTTTGTCATATCTTTGCAAGATCATAAAAGCCTAAAGTTAAGAAAAGAGGATAATTACTACCATTTGTAAGGTAACCTGGCAAAATCAGAAAGAACAAAAAAACCTAGTCTTGCTCTTTTTCGTACATAACACACATTATTATAATGCTATAATAAAAGCTTTTTTATCTTTTGCCATTGTATTCTTATCAGCACGATCAATTTCTAAATTATGCTTTTTGAACCAAGAGTAAAGAAAACAGAAAATAACTATATTTTAAAAACTATACCTTAAAAATAAGAATATGTAAGGGTTGGAGGAAAGACGTAATGCTCCAACTTGCAGACTGAAGAATCTTTAGCAAGGGGTCAAGAAGAAATATGCCACAATTAATCTCTAATCATGGGGTGTAGCAATAAGACAACTCAGTTCTTAACAAAGCTTCTACCTTCCAAAAGTCAAAACAAGTGTGCTTTCAAAGCAGACATGTATTTCTTCTTTTTCTTTCTTTCTTTCTTTTCTTTCTTTCTGATACGGTTTCAGAGATTTTTGTTTTAGTATAATGTCTTTTTTGTCTATTCCTATTTTCATCCTTATGAAAAAGATTCACCAACTCTTTTGTGAATATAAACGACTCAGGATAATTGAGTATTTATGTTATCCTGCAAATCTGATGAATATAAACAAAAAAGTTTAAAACAAAATCTCACACCTAAAGGAGGTAGATCCTGAATGCTATTTATTTTGTAATTCTTAGTTTTAGACAGCATTCAGACTTTTCCAATATAATATTTTCTAACTGGCAATAACAATTTTATGTCCTGAATTTTGGTGGGCATGACTGCGGTCATGTGTCACTTAACAGTGGGAAAATATTCTGAGAAATGTGGTGTTAGGTGAATTTCATTATGTGAACATCATATAGCATACTTAACCAAACCTAAATGGTACACACCACTACGCACCTAGACTATATGGTACAGCCTATTGCTCCCAGGTAACAAACTTGTACAGCATGTTACTATAGTTCATTGTAACACAATGGTATTTGTGTATCTAAAGATATATAAACATAAAAATAGTACAGTAAAAATATGGCATTAAAGATTATAAGAAATGGTACACTTGTATAGTGCACTTACTATGAACGGAGCTTACATGACTAGAAGTTGCTCTGGGTGAGTCAGTGAGTGGGTGGTGGGTGAATGTGAAGGCTGAGGACATTACCCTGCACTACTATAGACTTTATAAACACTATACAATTAGATTATACTCGTTGTGTAGAAAACATTTTTCTTCAATATCCAACTAACCTTAGCTTACGGTAACTTTATGAACTTTTAAATTCTTTAACTTTCAGACTCTCTTGTAATAAATCTAACTCAAAACACAAACACGTTGTACAGCTGTACAAAAATATTTTCTTTATATCCCTATTTTATAATTTTTTTCTATTTTTCTTTTTTAACTTTTAACTGTTTTTGTAAAAAATAAGACATACATTTACCTGGTTAAGATTCCTTATTATATTTAAAAACTTTTTTTATTCTTGGAATTATCTATAAACTATTTTTAAGAACATACTGAGATCATAATTTTCCAAAACTCCCGATTACTAGGAAACCAAAAAAATTACACACACACACACGCACACACACACACAAACAAGCTTTAAAAATAAGACCTGTGTTAGAAACCAGCTCTTGAACTCTTCCTTTGGCAATATCTGACCCTCACTTATTTAACTGTAAAATTATGTAACAATGAATGTGTATCAATATGCAATAATGCATGCTATTCACAACTCTGTGCTTAAATATATATATATGTATATATATATATATATATATATATATATATATATATATATATATATTTTTTTTTAGACGGAGTCTTGCTCTGTTGCCCAGGCTGGAGTGCAGTGGCGCGATCTTGGCTCACTGCAAGTTCCGCCTCCCAGGTTCATGCCATTCTCCTGCCTCAGCCCCCCGAGTAGCTGAGACTACAGGCGCCCGCCACCATGCCCGGCTAATTTTTTGTATTTTTAGTAGAGACGGGGTTTCACCGTGTTAGCCAGGATGGTCTCCATCTCCTGACCTCATGATCCGCCTGCCTCGGCCTCCCAAAGTGCTGGGATTACAGGCGTGAGCCACCGCACCCGGCCTTAAAAATATTTTTTTAAAATTTCCAGTGCAAATAAAATATATTGTATTGAAGAGATAGTAAATGAGAAACACTTTTAATAATTTAAATGTTTATGGACATTAAGTAATGTCACTGTTGGAAGGTTTTTTATTTCTCGACCATGAGTATGTATAATATTCCATGATATCTATTTATTCAATCAAGGTCTATTATTCTCCTGTATCTGCTGTTGAGAAAATATTTCATGTTTAAATTATGACAATTTTTTTTTTTTGAGACAGTCTTGCTCTGTCACCGGGCTGGAGTGCAGTGGCGTGATCTCAGCTCACTGCAACTTCTGCCTCCCAGGTTCAAGCGATTCTCCTGCCTCAACCTCCCGAGTAGCTGGGATTACAGGTGTGTGCCACCACGCCCAGCTAATTTCTGTATTTTTAGTAGAGATGGGGTTTCACCATGTTGGCCAGGATGGTCTCAATCTCTTAACCTTATGATCCGCCAGCCTCGGCCTCCCAAAGTGCTGGGATTACAGGCATGAGCCACTGTGACCAACCTAATGTGAGTATGAGTGTATGTTTGTGTATACACATGCACAGATATATATATATATATATATAATACACACACACACATACATATATATCCCTCTATATGCATTCACATACAAAACATAAAATCATCTATATCCAAAATGAATACATGCCCTTAATTTACCTTTTCTTCACAAACACTTTACTATCCAGAAAACTCTCCTTCTTTTTCTACTTTTTAAATTTTTGTTTCACTGGAGTTTTTTTTTTTTTTTTTTTTCTAATTCTTAGCCTCTGGCTCTTCCATTTAGGTCTTAGATTCAGCTTGTCAATTTTTATGAAGCACCCACTAGGAATCTTGGTTGGAGTCTTGTGACTGTTGCTTTGACTAACTCAATTTTTTGCTTTTCTTTATGTTTTTAAGTTATCATTATTTTTTATTATTGATTGTTTTACTCCTAGTAAGTTGAGCTTTATATATAGGCATGCTTTGAAGTTTAGATTGAAGGTGCTTTCCTCCAGAGAAGATTTGTGTTTGCTTTAGACAGGCTTCTGAGGGCACTATTAAACTGGGACACTTACAATAAATTCTTGGTGAAGTTTTCACCTCTATTCAAAGTCAAATTCAAGTAAATTAGCTTACTTGTTCTTGTCTACAGGAGACGCCCCTCAACACCACTTCTACTTTTTCCTTATGATGTAGCCCACTGGATCTTGGTTATATTTAAGAGTGTAATTCCAGGCTAAAATGACTAAAGGGATAATACAGTATTAGCACAAGGAGCTAAGGATAATTAATTTCATAAATCTGCTACTCCGAGCGACAGTGAAAATCATTCCGTATATATTTCTACAAGCCTTCAACCTTTCAATAGGATCTGAATAATGGTTGAAAATAACTGCAATAATTCCAATGATGATGATGAGGAGGTGGAATACATTTACTGAACAATTATTATGTCCTAAAAATTGTTCTAAGTGCTTTACAGTATTATTGAGTTCAATTGTCACAAAAACACTGCGCAGTAGATGGTTTCATTGTATTCAGGAAACTGAAGATAAAAGACAGTGAGTAACTTGCAAAAGGTCACATAGTGATTGACATGGCATTAAACTCCAGATCTGTTTCTAGAGCCAGTATGCTACATTGCCTTGGAAAATATATCCTGTATGCACAGATATTACCCAAACATTTCTTCTAATGTTACGAATAAGTAAAATGTAAATAAAATGTTGATTAGGACTGGTGAGGACTGATTAACAAGAACTAAAAAATGAAAATTAGGAATATTGGGAGATATACCAAATGAGCTACAATATACCAATTTACGTTGCAAGAGTATTAACTGATGTATTTTACTTGCTGGAATGAGTTGATAAACCATTTACTACTGGCTGGCAGTTTCAGGTTAGGAGAAGTATATGATTTTGGTCACTCAATTTCTTATCTAGTCTTTACCTCTGAGATTTGAAAAAAAAAATTTTCATTAATATACCAGGTTCTGGGGGCCGGGCGCGGTGGCTCATGCCTGTGGTACCAGCACTTTGGGAGGCCGAGGCGGGCGGATCACGAGGTCAGGATCGAGACCATTCTGGCTAACACAGTGAAACCCTGTCTCTACTGAAAATACAAAAAATTAGCCGGGCGCGGTGATGGGCGCCTGTAGTCCCAGCTACTCGGGAGGCTGAGGCAGGAGAATGGCGTGAACCCGGGAGGCGGAGGTGAGCCGAGATCGCACCACTGCACTCCAGCCTGGGTGACAGAGCAAGACTCTGTCTAAAAAAAAAAAAAAAAAAAAGGAAAAAAAAAAATATATATATATTTTATAGGTTCTAAGAAATTGCTTAAAAATTACACACACTCACAAACTGTGAAACCAATAGTATTTGTGTAATTGACAGTGGGAGCTTGCATTCTGCAACCTGGGACGAAGAATAACTACAAAGGTGCATCAACTTCTTTATGAATAGATCACCATAAAATATTAATATTATGTTCTTCAAGGGTCCAGAATAGAAGCTGAACGTTTTTTGTATAATTACATAAAATTACATATTATTTTAAGATATATAATCATATACATTGTAATTTTTGCGACCTATTGAAATCATAACCATCTTTATAAAGCCATGACACTGGTACCTATAATCAAATCATTCTCCTTGCTGACAAATTATTCTCATTGCCTTTCTTCTGGCATCCAATCATTTCCATTCTTTTATTTACAATTTCGTTTTAGAAATTTACCCTTTTGGACTTTATATTTTCCTCTTAGGTTTATCTATTATGTAAAGTATTTTTGTAGATTGCAGTTTAGACAGGAGGAGATGATTCTACGAAATAATTTGCTGTCGGTGTGTTATCATTACCTCATTCCCAGAGGGTGCTACTTTGGTGGAAAAACCAGGCTCAGTGGCTCACGCCTGTAATCCCAGCATTTTGGGAGGTCGATGTGGGTGAATCACCCAAGGTCAGGAGTTTGAGACTAGTCTGGCCAACCTGGTGAAACCCCGTATCTACTAAAAATACGAAAATTAGCCGGGCGTGTTGGCGGGCGCCTGTAATCCCAGCTACTCTGGAGGATGAGGCAGAAGAATCGTTTGAACACGGGAGGCAGAGGTTGCAGTGAGCTGAGATCGCACCACTGCACTCCAGCCCGGGGGACAGAGCAAGACTCTGTCTCAAAAAAATAAAAAATAAAATAAATAAAATATATGGAGCTATAATTTCTACCCACTTAATTGCATTCCTCTAAAAGTCATTAACTTGAAACAAGTTTTTTGGGTTTTTTTTGGTCCATTAAGCTAATTCTTGACTCTATACTTATAAAGTTTATAAAATTATTTGTTTATAAAGTTGATAAACTTAATTTTTTATAAATTAATTGTTCACTGTATGTTTAGACACTGAGAATAGAGTTCTTTTTTCTTTTTATGCTTTTTAGCATAAGAATAATCTCATTTATTATGTAAATACATCATTTTTATAATAAAGCAACTGTTTTAAATTCATAAAACTGTTATAAATTTATGTGATATAGCTAATATGAAAGACACCTGAATTAAACACTTTAATGAAATGAATATTTATTATCAGACAGAGGTTTAGAATAAGAAATGTCAATATATAGAACTGCCTCCACTAAACCTTTTTCCTGATGAATTTAAGAGATGTGTTTATTGAACAGAAGCACAATTCATAGATAACTCATCTTTATAGGGCGTCTGTTGCCATGGTAATAGTGATGTGACATCGTTCAAAGGGAAGTGTTTGTTCTAAAAGCAATGATGAGTAACATCCTGCAGCCTCCATTCAAAACTAAAGGTAGGTAGGTTGGGCTGTTTTCCTAGGCACAGACAAGGGTGTAGAATCCTGACAATCTCTCTGAAGTACACCCCCTTGTCAGATCCTATCATCACCTACCAGTCAGAAATAAGTTCTTTTATTGTATCAACGTTATTTTTTTCCTACTTCAATACTAAATAAGCAATTTTAAAAGTATTGTTTTGAGTAGAGAACAGAAAAGGAAGGAGTTCACCTTCAATAATCGGTCCTATTTGTTGTAATAATTACTTAGGCAGTAGACACCATCTTTAATTTACATATTATATAACTACATTAACTGGAAAGACAACATTAAACTACATGTTAATAGAAAACTCTCCTAAATTACTTGAGCCCCCAAAACTTTCACTTTTCACATGTCTCTAAATCATCCACGGACTCTACTATTTATTCATTTGTGTGTTTAATATGTGCTGTGCATGCATGCCTTCCTGTGTGTGTGCATGTGTGTGTACATGTGTGTAGAGGGGAAGAGGGGAGGGGTTGGTTATCTGGATTTCTCTACTTGAAGGAGGAGAAGCTAAGCATAACATTAGGTGGCAGATACTAGATGTGACACTTAGATGACTCAATGGTGCGGAGAATTTAAAAAATATATTTAGTCAAATTAACCTATCTTTCCACATGTGGGGTTAATACCTAGATCTCATAACAAAGCCCGCTACTGATGTGAGACCAAATCAAAGAGGCCCCGCTTGGAGGGTGTTGGTGTCCAGGAGGCAAAAATGTCAAACCAGCTTAGAACTTAATTAGCACTGTGAGGTATGGATCACCCTCTCTTGGTGGTTTTTTGTTTGTGTGCATGTTTGTTTGTTTTCTTTTTCTCGTTTTCTTTATTCTCACTATTCCCTTCTACTTGCTGGGTTTTTGTTTCCTGCATCCCTCTTTCTGCATTCATTTTTGTCTCTCCACTCTTTCTTTTGATTTATTCTGTACTCTTCTCTCAGGCTTGAAAGGGTCCTTAAAGGGGAAAATTAATTGACGAGATATGAATGAGGAAAGAAAAGCCGCAAACTCAGACTAAACCTCCACACTCTGCCATAAAACTGCCTCAAACTTGTGTTTCTCACCTGTGATGCTTTCCTAACTAAACCCCAAACCAACTCTCTGTCTGGGGTTACCAAAGAGTAAAAGTAACTTTTCCTACCACTTAATCTTTCTGAGGCTTTTATATTCAGTGCTTATTTTGTGTTATGAGGGGCCGTGTGTGCTTGTGGAGGACGGTAGAATGCATACAATAATTTAACACCTGCTATAAGTTGGGCATTATATTACTCACTTTCTGACCCTTATCTCATTTAATCCTAACACTGACCATCTAATTTAGGTATTATTGTCTTCCTTTTAAACATAACGCCACAAATCTTAATCTGGGCAGAATCACAGTCTCTAAATAATAAACTTTGTTGGTTACAAATTAATTTCAATCCAAAATATATAAATTTTTAGTATACAATCCAGAAGATGTGTGTGTGTGTGTGTGTGTGTGTGTGTGTGTGTGTGTGTGTGTGTGTGTTTGCTGAAGAAGAATGATTACTGGAATCTTTGAATAGAGGAAGCTCAAGTTCAACTACAAAGTAATAGTTAAATTAAAAATGGTTGAGATTAATCCAGTACAACTCCATGTATTATGTAAAATGATTACATAGATAATATGGCATCCCTTTTTGTAACAAATCTCTATGCTAGAGACCACAGAAATCATTAGGAAGCTTAACATTTTATCACTCACTTAAAAGTAAAATATGTATAATGGAATCCTCCATGAGACAAATAATAAAACTAGAATGATCTTAGCAACACATTCACAAAGCAGTTAGAGTCTTCACAGTCATTTTATATGTATGACCTGATTTTGTTTTTAAAATAATCTATCTGAATGAATATTACAGTGCCAACTGAGGTCCTTAGTGATAAATTCGTTTCCTCAATTTCATGACTAGGTAGTGGTTCAGTTGAAACTAAAACATGGATTTTCAAATACTGAGTTGTTGCTGATTGACTTGTAACAAATATAATTATATTAACTAATTGAAAACTTTCTCTTTCTCTAGGATCATAGTTAATGGATTCTATTATTCCATGAAATAAAATTCTTTGCAACTCAAGTGTTTGGGGAAAACAAATAGTTCATGCAGCACTAGCAATCTTACTTTAAAAAAAATAAGAAAACTTGCTAAGATAGTATCCATAATTTTATTCTCTACCTTTGTTTAAAATTGATAGAAAATTTTGGGAAGCGGCAGTGTATGCGTAGCCATAGTTGCTAGAGCATGTGCGCCTATGATTTCCCTATTTTTTGTAGCCCTACTCGCCAAGTAATTTCATTCATGAGATTTTATCTAAGGTTGTACTGAATAGGATGTATTCAGTTTTTCTTCTTTAAACTATTGTTGTATCTACTTGTCTCAATGTTTATTAGATTCTCCATATATAGTCTTATTTAAACCAAATCAATTTAATCTTAACCAATTGTTTCAAAAAAGATTATCTTCATTCTAGGTAGAATCTTCATCTGTACTCTAGCAGACATTTTAGGGAAAGGAAACATGAAAACAAATATTTTTCTGTGTACAACTCTACGTTCAATTCATAGCACAAAATGCTTGCCTCTCCAAAAGTAAAAAATAATGATAATAATTACAGTCACACAAAAAAGAAATAAAAAAAATCAAATCTCTTTTTTGAGAAAATAAATACCAGGAGTTAGTTATGCTGCTTTATTTTCCATAGCAGCTATGAATTCTGCAGTATCTTCAAAAGCCTTCAGCTTGGATAAACAAGTGTATAATTTTCCTTTTGTTGAAATTTTGGATATCAAATGGAATTGCTAATGAGCATAAAATATTACAAGATTCTTTGGGTGAATATTGCAATTACTTGGCAATAGACATTGACAACCTACTCTAAATTTGTTCTTGTAACTAAAGAAGAAAAAATTTACATTTGTACTTAAAGGCAAAAGAGAGAAAAATAAAGGTGAAGTTGATATTTTACTGTATCTGAAACCAGTACAAATGACTAGGTTTATCCTGAGGAGTAGATAGCCTAATGGGAAACACATTTCAGTGAGAGCTGATTCCGTTTTCGGTTTCAACAACCACCTGTGTAGAGACAGCTTCCTAATCAATATCAACTCACCTGATATTTCACGTGGGTCACCTTTCAATTTAGAGTGCCTTTAGGATATTTTTAATTTCCCAACATAAAAAATCATAAATTTAGTTGAAAACTAAATTCTTCAGCTTCTCTGTGACTTCTACTTTTCATGTCTGCTGTCAAACTGTGACAACATCATTAGCTCCAACTCCCTGGCCAAAAATATATGTGATATTTTGGGGTATTGGGAGGACTGGAAGTATGATCAAATACTGTCAGTTACTCATTTGCCATCTATCTCAGATATACTCATTCTTTTTCATTTTTCTTGTCACTATTGTGATATAGGCTCTTGTCACTTCCTATTTAGATCACTACAACTGTTTCCCACTGATTTTCAGTCTGTCAATCTTGGTCTCCCAGATCTTGACTGTATACCATTCACTGCCAGAATAATCATTCCCAAACTTCAATTTCATCATTATACCATCCTGTCCAAACCACTCAATGGCTGGCTCTGCCTCCCGAAAACTAATAGTTAACACAGACTGATCCTAAAGGCCTCTGCACTCTATATTTTTTTCTGCCTATTTCCAAATGAAAACCACTTCATTCATTGAAATAGGTCTCTTCTCATCCTCAAGATGTACTGTAACAAATTTTAATGCAGGGCTTCCTTTTTCTATGTTTGAACTGAATTTCCTCTGTTCTACCAATTCATATCTTCTCCCTTTAAGACACTAGCCCCATCTCTTCCATGAAGTTTCTTCTAATCACTGCATTGCCAGGTGACCTGTTAGAAACCTGAACCCAGCAAGCTAAGAACAGCTAGAAAACATACCCAATATATTAGAATCACATCATCATGTAAATTTGTTATCCAAAAGTTCAAAATATTTCAAATATGTGCTTTTTTTGACATCCAGTCTGCAGAAAAATAAATTATATATGTATCTTCACACAAATATATAGCATATACATATTTGTTTATATGTAAGTACGTGTGTGTGTGTGTGTGTGTGTGTGTGCGCGCGCGCGCGCGTGCGCGCTCGTGCTCAGGCATATGTTTCAAGCCAAATTTACAGGTTAGGGATCTAAGCTCCAGAGAACACAAGTGAGTTACCCACACCTAAGCTGGTGGCAGTTAAGTCTTAAACCTGGCCCTCTGGTTACAGTGATAAGTAGAGATGAGAAGCAGCATCAGATTGAGCAATACACTTCTACCTGGATATAAATGCCAACATCTTTCTTCAAAATCTAGATACAGTCAGGTCTACTTTTATTTTTCCTTTGCTTATTTAATAATACACTATAATTCTTAAATAAAATACAATTAACATAAAACTGATCTTAGTTTTTTTTAAAGATGTGTTATTTTCATGATTGTAACTAAGTCTGTGCTATTTTCAGATCGATTGATGATTTACAGTTCATTTAAAATCAATAATGATTCTTTGGGCAATAACAGAGTATTGTATATAACACAGGAAATATAACAGCATAGAATGCCAACTCCCTCCAATGCTAAAGCTCAAATCATGTGAAGAACAACAGCATTCTCCTTCCCTGTTTGGCAAGACACATAAAGGAATATATGGAGGGAGGTAGACCATGGTAAAAAAAAAAAATACAAATAAATAAATAAAATAAGAAGGGATTCTGGAAAATTCTGGCAAATGTTCTCAAAATTGTTCCAAGATGAGTGGTAAGTATATGTTTTGGGGAAAATGAAATATATATTTATATTTATATTATATAAATGAAATATATATATAAATATTCAGAAACAAATAGTTTATTTGGAAAAGTAGGTTAATAAAATAAAAAAAAATAAATGCACTTTGAAACTGAAATAATATCTACACAGAAGTCCTGAAATATATTGAAATACATTGTGCAGAAATATTGATTTAGCACTCAGAATCTCCAAACACTCCATTTTAATCTTTATCCCAATCATGGAGAGTCCATTCCAACCTAGGCCTCTTTAGAGAGTAGAGAGGGTTTTACTAGCCAACTACATTAAAATGACCTCGGCCATCCACCCAGTTAGCTAGGTCAGATTCTGACTGACAGATGGCTCTTACTAAAAATAAATTTCTGATTTTTGTACGGTGGACACAATCCTGAAATCTTTTATTCTACAAGACAGAAGTAATCAAAATGTAAATATGATTTTTAAAGATGTTATTTTTGGAAGAACAAAACAATACTTGAGACAAACCTGTGGGACCCAGGAGACTGTATCCCATTGTGGATTACTGAATTGAATAGAAAAATGGGGGGAAAAACATACAAAATAGGTATTCGGAGATAAATTGTATCACAAAAACAAATGCCTAAGGTTTGCATAATTTTAGTTGCAGGTGGAAAGAACATAAACTGAATAGAAGTAGACTGTGATAAAAATAGTTTAAATCCAGGGGCGTTTATTGAGATTAATTTTCTTCAGTAAACCACAATATCCAAGAAAGAAAGAAGAATATTGTCACCCTGGAAATCAAGAGATGGTTTAGATCAAATTCAACTCAAACATCCAATGAGTTATTTGGTTTCCTGAGGGACAGGAAAGATAGAAGTGGGCTGTTTTGAAGTTTTTATAGTAGAAAGGAAAAAATAGGAAAAGAAGAAAGGAAAAGAAGAAGGGAAAAGAGGCAAGAAAAAAGCCAGAAAAGCATGAGATAATTCAAGGACTTTTTATCTTTTTATACATTCTGCCTAGACATCACCTAATGAGACATGCCCCTTAGAACAGTTTTACTCATTACCCAGTGACCTCTTTCCACTCTTGTGCTTCTAGAATTGTCTATGGGCACCTTGGGCATTAACTGAAAGGAGTTGAAGCCTTTTCTTTCCCTGACCCTGCCAGAGAAATTTTTCCCCACAGAGCCTGTAGACGTTCCTTCAGAGATGCTAGATCACGGACAACTCTCATGATTAAGGTGTAGGCTCAACATTTCTTTAAATCTCAAATGTTGAAAATTCAGGCCAAATATAGATCTACTTCTCTGAATATAAATATAATTCTTCCCTAGCCTCTCTAAACATCTACAAATTCTGCAAATGATGTTAAGCACACTTATCATTTGGCTTCACGTATCTAGTATCCCACTGCTAATGCCATTACATTTAAAATGAAAAGATGTACAATTATAATATATAAAAATGATAATATTAAAAGAGGCTCTAAGCTCAAGGAGCAGAATTACAAGTGCATTGGATCGTCCAAGTATGATCTGCTCAAACTAATTCGACTCTCAGCTAGGCTGACTGACCTTGCAAAATACCAACTACGTGGCTAAGAAAGGAAAATATATTCAAATCTTGTGTAAAACGTATTTTAATACTAGAAAGATGC
The DNA here is from genome assembly GCF_000001405.40 of Homo sapiens. NCBI lineage: Eukaryota > Metazoa > Chordata > Mammalia > Primates > Hominidae > Homo > Homo sapiens. Next base: position 146,472,683 of record NC_000007.14, on the reverse strand, counting down.
AAAAGAAAATATTTGAATTTGCTTGTAGAGAATCTATATTGATTTAAAGCTTGGATACACATATATATTTCCATCAATTGTTAGATGTAGTGATTTTACTTTTTCATATTTATGGTATGGTTATGTAAGTGTTGGGTAGTAATACATTTTTAGATTAATGATGAACAAATCATATGAAACAAAATTGATTAGAACTCTCATGCTCTGAGGTCCTAGTGGTTATCCGAGTGCAATGCAAGCGTATTGCTTTAACTTTGAGGCTACATATTATGTTTAGTTCAGAAATCCGTTATCTACTTAGCCATTTTCTACAGCAGAAAAGATGTGATTTTTCTTTAAAATATGGAACATAATAAGTGCAATTATTTGGATGCAGAATATACAAAACTTCACTGTAAATAGTGCATAAATGTGGACTCATTTGTTATTGATTTACGAGCCATATATAGCGCAGACCTCCATATTCCCTACATTAGGTCTAAATATATTAATGTGGAACTGTGTAGTCATATCCACCCACTGTGAAACAGAACTACCTGAAACACCATACAGAACAGTGGCCTATGTAACGGTGCATTTGCAGAATGACGATAATGTAGGAAAGTTAAATTGAGCTACATAAAATGTTTATAATATTTTTCCAAACCAGGATGCCCATGAGAGCTTTTATTTTCACTACTTTGGGGACATTTTCATTCAAACTTGCAAGTTCATTTCAGATTCTTAAGAAATCTGGGAAACTGACAGAATCTGTTGGAATTTTCTTTATTCAGCTACCAGAACTGGTCCCCATTTCCCACAAAAAAAGTGATTTATGGATCTTAATTTCTAATCATTTGCTATCCACAGAATTCCTGAAATTCTCAAATTTAGGCAATAGCCAACACTCACTTATAGGAATTAAAAAGTCAATTTTCTGGATAATTCAAAATGTGCCTACACTATCTGAATAGTTATCATTAAAATAATTTTGTGTTAACTATATATGTGTTACATGAGAAGTTCAAACACGCCATTTATCTTATTGAGATTTCATTTGAGCATTCATTTGTTATTGAATCTGCACACACAAATTGAGAAACTACTATGTGTGAGGCATTCATTATGCTGGCACAAGGCCACATGGAAATGGAACAGAAAGGAGTGCTCTATCACAGCAAACATCATGGAACTCATTACATTTTTGCCATCAGAAAAGACTATTGGGTCCAATTAAACCCAGCAGCTATTTCTCCATTGTTGATTCACAGCTGAGATGCCTTATAGCATAAAAGCAGAGAACCAAGAATATTTTAAGACTTAAAAATGTATACAGCTCATACAAGCTAATAAGGAGAACTTGAAGCTATCAAAGGTTCGACTTAAGACTTGTCTGAAACTCTGATTCAAGGAAGTGACTTCTATGTTGCAGGATGTGGCCAGACAGAGGAAGGCCAGTAAACAATGGAGAACAAGAGCAAGTTCTCACCCAGATCATGTTTTCATCAAATTTTCTAGTGAACCTGGATTAAGATTTTTATCAGATCCACCTGTATTGTTTATTGCTTGTTTTCAATATAACTTAAATTTGTCTAACTCTTTTTGGGGAATAATATGTGATTCTTATTCCACTCCCAATCATTCTGTGAATATTGTATTTTTTATTAACCCATGTAAGTATCGTTACAAACAGAAAATTGGTAATTGGGTCCATGGTTCTGAAAGCAAAGGTAGGAAGACTTTTTACAGAATTCTTGTTAGTAAGGCTTACTCTTATCTGGCTGGGCTACTTAGTAAAATAGATACATGGGATTCAGATAAAAAAAAATAAAATATGGGCTTGGCACGGTGGTTCATGCCTGTAATCTCAGCACTTTGGGAGGCCCAGGCAGGCGGATCATGAAGTCAGGAGCTCAAGACCATCCTGGCCGACATGGTGAAACCCTGTATCTACTAAAAATACAAATATTAGCTGGATGTGGTGGTGCGTACCTGTAATCCCAGCTACTCGGGAGGCTGAGGCAGGAGCATTGCTTGATCCCAGGAGGCGGAGGTTGCAGTGAGCCGAGACTGTGCCACTGTACTCCAGCCTGGTGACAGAGCGAGATTCCGTCTCAACAAATGAAACAAAATAAAATAAAATAAAATATGGCAGTTAGGGATAGCAAGAAACACAACCAAGAAAAATTAGAAAGATTCATTCAGGAAAGAAGAGGCAATATCTGGGCAAGTCTCCACCAGGCAGAGAAAGGAGAAAGGGACGTATCAGGTAGTGGGAGTCATATGTGCTAGGCATTTTGCAAGTAAGAGTTGTTTCTCTATATGCCCTTCATTAATGATGTTTATTTATTATCTCTTTATTTTTTCTTTGTGAACTCATCTTCTATTCCCTTGCATCTTCAGCTGCCTTGGTAAAGAAAACAAAATAAAGAATACTATCAACAGACTCATTCCATGTATATAAATTTCAAAAATATGCAAAATAAAACATGATGTTTACAAATACAAATGTGTGATTAAATTTATAAAGAAAAACAGAGGAGTGATTAGTTTAAAAGTCAATTAAGGCCGCGCGCAGTGGCTCACGCCTGTAATCCCAGCACTTTGGGAGGCCGAGACGGGCAGATCACGAGGTCAGGAGATCGAGACCATCCTGGCTAACACGGTGAAACCCTGTCTCTACTAAAAATACAAAAAATTAGCCGGGCGTGGTGGTGGGCACCTGTAGTCCCAGCTACTCGGGAGGCTGAGGCAGGAGAACCGCGTGAACCCGTGAGGCGGAGTTTGCAGTGAGCCGAGATTGCTCCACTGCACTCCAGCCTGGGTGACAGAGTAAGACTGTGTCTCAAAAAAAAAAAAAAAAAATGTCAATTAAGGCTGGGGTTGGTGGCTCACGCCTGTAATCCCAGCACACTTTGGGAGGCCTAGGCGTGTGGATCTCTTGCGATCAGGAGTTCAAGACCAGCCTAGCCAACATGGAGAAAACCTGTCTCCACTAAAAATAAAAATAAATGATTAGCCAAGCCTGGTAGCAGGTGCCTGTAATTCCAGCTACTAGGGAGGCTAAGACATGATAATCATTTGAACCAAAAAAGCAGAGGTTGCAGTGAGCCAAGATTGCGTCACTGCACTCTAGCCTGGGTGACAGAGCAAGATTCCATCTTAAAAAAAAAAAAAAAAAAAAAAGTCAATTATTAAGACAGTGGTTACCTCTGAAGTTTGTGGAAACAATTTGAGAAGAGAAAGAGCATGTATGAGCTTCAAAAGAAATGGTTATACATATTCTGTTTCTTTAACTGGGCAGTGGCACTATTTTTTTTTTTTAATGCTTCCAACATTTTCTCAGGGTATCTTCTTTGGGGAGCAGTCTCTGGGACCGAGATGATGTGCAGGATGGCTACTGGAGTTTGCTTTGGGGCAAACACTGGTGAAAGGGAGGGGAAGGCAGCTGGATTGGTCAGAAGGAGAAGGGTTGCTGTGATGTGGGCTTGACCCTCAGCCAGACTCTCAGGGAACCCCAAAGGGGGCGACAGGTAAAGGCAGCTCACCTCCAGCACTTCCTGCAACTGGGACAGCAGATCTTCCTGGAAGGAGGAGCTGGATGCTGCATATTACTTTGCAACAACACAGTATTTCAGGAAATGTTTTAAAAATTGTCCTAACTTATCAATTTATTGCCTTTAGAATCTGATCATTTCTTTTACTTGACATCAGAGAAAACAAGTGTTCTATACAGTATCCTGTGCCTCTTTTTCTTCCACAGTTTTTTTTAAACACTTTTCTAATTCTTCAGTATTTAGACATATTATCAGGTTCTAGAGACTAACATTTAATTTGGTTGTGCATTCTCTTATTTTTGCTTCACCTATCTCAGTCTATAATTTTCATTTTGCAGAGTTTTTTAAACTCCTTCCAGATTCCCAACTATTTATTCTTACTGAGGAAGGTAGAAGCAACAGGTGAATCAGCTTTGCCATCTTTTTTTAAGTTGCAACTTAGACTTTTACCGACCTTCCAAAGCAGAGAGCTTATTTCTTTGTCGAAATTCTTTAAAAACAAACAAACAAACAAAAAAAACTATGTGTTGAGCATTTTTGCATGAACTTCAGCACAACAGCAAGACAAATTCCTACTGATAATTATCAGAGTCAGTTCAATCTCACAGTCTTTTGACATTTCCTTGAAACTCATTAGACTGGGTTGTACACTCTCCTTGCACTTCCTGTGTTACCCAGATCATTGTCTTCTTTTTTTTTTTTTCTTCCTGACTTTGATTTTAGATTCAGGTGGCACATGTGCAGATTTGTTACCTGGGTGTATTGCATGATTCTGAGGTTTGGGGTATGAATTATCCAGTCACCCAGGTACTAAGCATAGTACTTAACAGGTTTTCAAATCTTGCCCCTCTACTCCTCCCTGCTCTAGTAGTCGTCACTTTATTGTCTCCATCTTTATGTCCATGATGCATGTTCTTACCTACAAGTGGGGGATCACGGTCTTTATCATACTGTGTTATTATTCTTAGTTTTCTTCGTTGACTTTCTCCAGATTGAGATAATTTTGATGTACTTTTTAAAAAATTTTAGATGTCTAATATTATGCTTTCTTTTGCACCCAAAATCTTTCTATACTGTCTATCAAGATTTCTGTTTTATCTCTAGTTACCTTTTTTCTTTTACCTGATTGTATTAGAGAACACAAATGCACCTTCTTTATGAAACTGTTTAACTCTTGAACAAGTTTTTCCCAAAATAAATAAGATGCTTGTCAAGTCTGCCATGTATGCATGTATTTTTAATCAACTACTATTACATTGAACAATATTGCTCTCACACTATTCCAAGGTATTATTCAATATTTCAATAACAGGAAGACATTATAACTTTGTGCTAAGTAATCAATAATTTTATCTAGCATATGTAAATATAGTTATGTGAGTACTAGATCAACTTTACCTGAATTCATTGTTTTCCTTGAGATGCACAGAATTTGTATTTCATTTGGGATTTATTCAAATAGTTATTTTTCAAGGAAATTCAATAATTATAAATCAGGAAACTAACACTCTGAAATATATTCTTATCCATCATAGAAATAAATAAAAGTACCCAAAAGCATTTAATCTAAGGATGCACTTTCTCTAAAATCACCCAAATTATTTCCTGTAGAATTTATTGAACAGGCTGTTCCAAGAGATGGATGGACAGTCTGGAAAAGATGCAGAATGATCAATTGAAATGACAACCACATTTAACTTTATCAGAAATGACCTGAAAACCTATTTACTACCATCATCTTTTGCATTAGTCTGTGTAAAATTGCTTTTAATGAAAGCAACAAGCATATTTTAACTAATTACTTAGAGATACTGAAATCAGTCATGTCAACGACTCCATCACAAATACTTGGTTTTTGTATTAGTTTTTCTTAAAGGCAAAATAATTACCAGAACATTCTACATTTTAAGGAATAGAAGACCAGATGGTAGTAATATAGTTAAGAAGTGGTAATATACTTGAAAACTGATTAAAATTAACACGCTAATTTTCAAATATGATAGAGTTCATAAATTCTTTGCAAATAGTTTAGGCTACTTGAATGATGGAAGTCTTTCATATATTGTCATTTGTTAACATTAAATTATTAAATAGCCATTAATCCCCCAATGATACCACTTTGTACTTAGAAGAGTTTAAAGAGGGACAAGATAAAAGTACATTGAAATAAATTTGAATGTATAAAAAATATATTACTGAAGAGGTATGTGTAAACCATATTAATTTTTACAGCTATGCACATAATCATCAAAACACTATAGCTGTCTTCACAGGAACAGCAGTATGCCAAGCACAATAAAGTATTAAGTAGGGATATTTTAGATCAGACTGTTTCATTTTAGGATTAATTAGTTGCTTGTCAATTATTCAACAATTGGTCTGATCAGAAGATGAAGCCTAATCAGGCTTTTCAATGACTAAAATCATCAAACAATTATGAGCAATTTCAGTCATTTATTACGCTTAAAACTATTATTCTTTTATTATGCTATAAATTCCTGATTACTTCAAAATCAGCATTTTCTACTGGAATCTAGAATAAATATTGTTGGGGAAAGCTGTCCAAATGAATAAAGGAAAGGGAATTTGGGAAAAGGGTGAAAAGATAGATTAAATGTACTCACTAATCTGTAGTAATGATCCTTTCTATCAGTTTGTATTAGGTAAAATTTAACAGTTAACCAGTGTTGAAAACAACAGCCTGTTGAAACACATTTGGTAAGCATTGTTGTAGTTCAAATGCAGCCCTGCTGTAACGAAATTGTGTATAGGAAAGATGAAGTTCTACGAAACAGCACAGAATTCCTAATAGCGATGCTGCAAAAACTTATTTGAAAGCTGATGTGATCCCACTCCCAGCCACTCACATGAAAGTCAGAATTCTCACCTCTCAGATCCTCTGACCCGGTGCATCCTTCACTTTGTATCAGCTTTTACCAAAAAGAAAGGGAAGTGAAGGGAACCTAATCCCCTCACTTGGTATTCAAGAATCGCTTCTTTGCTGGTTAGTTGGAAGTAAAAACAACTTTTTGATTCTAGTTTACATCATCATTTCCCTCAGTCTTTAGAACCCAACGAGCTTTTATGGTGTAGCCCAGCGTAAACAGTCAAAACCAGACCAGAGGTCCAATCAAAGTCCTGGAATTCAAATGCCCACTACTCAGGTAAGTAGCAAACACCACTTAAGTCAATAAGCGACTCAACAAAAGAGCAAAGAAAATAATTTCCAACTTCCAGATAATAATTTTCATACACCGTATATGTGATAATTCCTGATAAAATTGATTTCAATAACTAGATTTCATTCTTAGTGTCTTAGCCAAAGAATCATATAAAAAAACAACAACATAAACCAAATAAATTCTCATTTTCTGGACTACGAAAATATGTTTCCTATAATAACCTATCCTGCCGTATCAATCTCTAGTACTCTGAAACAAGATAGGTCTGAAGACAGCATGCAAAGTCTCAGAAGATCCCATTTTTAAATGCCTCTCCAGAAGCTGGTTAAACATTTAGCCATCTTGTGTAAAGGGAAGTGATTCTGCCACACATACATGGAATGCACAGAAATTCTATGATTTGATGATTCAAACAGACTAGGGAACAGCCCACCTAATACTTTTCTACAAATGAGACCTAGGACTTCAATTTACCCTACACACCTCACTAAAAGTCACATTGAAGAGTTAGAGCTGGAACTGCTAATAGCTCTGGAACTTAGATGGAGGAAGAACAAGACCCACAGCTGGGTAGGTTTCTGACTGTTCTGTGCTGCAGACTTGCACCTTAATGCTTTGCTCAAGGCCATTCCACAATCTGAGTCCTTTTTGCTACCCTGCCACATTTTAATCCCTTTAAAAAAACAAACTTCATAATCTTTGCTTTTTAGTGGGGAAAAATTTAGCTAGCTACTGTTGCCTTTATAGCCTCTGAGTATTTGGACTCAAGACTGCAACATCTTGCACTAGAAAACACAAACACAAATAAAGGGCTGTGTGTGTGTGTGTGTGGTGTGTGTGTGTATGTTTAGACTAGTCAAAGAGGCTTCAGCTGGGGATACGGTGATGGGCAGGGCTTCTGACTATCTTTCTGAAAAGCTCCAATCTAACTGAACAAATCACAAAAGCAGGCCAATTAAAGCAGACACCAGACTAGGTTCAGAAATGGAATGATCATAGACTGCAGAAAAGGCAGCTAGAAAATGGAAGTAAAGTTGATGGGGTCCAAGCACTGAGGCAGGCTACAATATCATTAAAATTCAAGAGAGTATTTGCAACCAGAATGATGCAGTGAAACAACTCTCAAATTCATTCCCGCTTGCCCAGCCAATCTGGAAACAACTTTTTCTTAACATTTTGTGATCAAAGTCATTTATAAGACTTTCCAACATAGTGTGCTAAGCGTGGTGCTAGGCTGCTCATTTATGAAGCACTCGATATTAGAATGCAAGATGGATCACTTCAGAATAACGTGTTCAGTATTAAAAATGATGATAAGTTCGCAAATAGTGAAAATATTAGCTGTGGAATTGGAGGAGGAGAAGGAGGAGGAAGAGAAAAAGAGGGAAGAAGGTGCAACTATGTATTTACAGACTTACTACTTCAAAAAGTATCTTTCCCATCTACACCTCTAATGGGTTTTATGGATTACTGTTAATTAGCTTATGTTTCCAATTTCCACAAGGCAGATGAGTTAACAAATAAGAGGTTTTCTTCTATTCTCTGAAATAATTCATTTTAGGACAATATATTCAATATGATCTGTTACGTAGATTTCTTCTGCCATCACTGAGACAATTTCCTTCCAAAGCCACACCCTTATTAAATATTCTGATAGGGAGGAGGAAAGACAATAAATCTGCCTTAAAAACTTTACTTCTATTGACAGGGTTTTTGCGGTTTCATTTGTTTGTTGTTTGGAGAGAAAAGAAAGAGAGCCAAAAAAAAAAAAAAAAAAACAGTTTCAAAGGAAAGACATTGAGCAAAATAAAAGTATTCTGTTGAGATGGTTCATTAACGAACTGTTTTTTGTGGTCAAAAAATGAACGCTTTGTTTTGAAAATGCATTGTGACCAAATTGAATATAAGAAAATAAGTAGGAGAAAATTTAAAATAATAGCAGGATCAAACACATTGTATATCCATGTTTCCTGATCTGGTCTCAAATTCAGATATTCTAAAGCACTGCTTCTCAAATCATTCCTCCCAGGCTCACCTAAAATAGTGATCCACACCAAACAAAGGATGTCAACCTTTCTCTGTTTTTATGGGAAACAGATAAGTGAATAGATTGTATTTTATTGTTTTTTACAAACCTGCCATCATTTTTTTAAATTTTAGCACTTGTTAACACTATATTAGAATCTAGTATTGATGAAAACTTATTTTTGTCAAAATATTTTAAGTTACTCTATATATATACACACATATACACATATGTATATATCTGTATACATGTATATAATATACATGCATACATGCACATATGTATGTGTATATATTACTCGTATTCATACATGTGCATATATGTATATACATGTGTATATATGCATGTGCACGTATGTATATATGTACGTATATGTGTGTGTGTATCATATATATTACTTGTATACTGTGATATCTAGTTGCTTTGTCACAATCACATTTAAGAACAATGTTCCTGACACGTGGTTAACAGGTTGGCAAGATAATTTAACATATTGATTCCACTGGACAGAAACATTCATTTATACTGAAGAGTAGATTACCTTTGCTTAGAATTTGGAACTAATGGGGGTAGCAGGAGACAAAAAGAAGGGAAGGAGGAAGAGACAGAAGAATTCAAAAAGAAAGGTGAATACATGGAAATCATGGCAACAGTACACATAATTCTGGCAAAACTCATTTAATATAACAAAGCCCTTGAGGAAACATAGAATAGATTATCAGAGACAGGAAGAATTGAGCAAGATAACAGTTCTCTTCTTGTATTCATCACTCTCCTTTTTGTTTTTATTTCTGTCTTAAGTTTTTATTTCCAGTTTTATTTTCCTCCCTCTATTTCTTCCCATTTATCCTCTAATACTTTCTAGTCTATTCAACTTCCTCTTTCTGCCCTTCCCTTGCTCCCATGACGAACTGGAGTGTAGGCCTACCTCACCTGCAAGGGGGAAGGTTAATGTCTGATGCATTGTTTCCTCCTCCATCAATCTGGTTATTTCCCTCTAAAGAAGACTTGAGGAAATAGCCTGATGTTGGGTAATTTAAGTAATTTTTAGAACTACTACTAATTTCTGGACTATTCAGAAAGAGATGATGAGAGAGACGCCCAAACTGTTGCAAGGGATCAATCATGTGATCCACAATGCTACTAAGTCAACATACTATTCCCCGCTACAAGGAGTAAATAAGTTTTTCCAATGTCAAGAACTCTGCGTGGGCCTCATGTGTATTTATCCAGTAATAATGATATATTTTGACTAAAAAATCTCCTTTCTTGATATTGCAGAACACATACTATTTTGTGTGCTATATTATATCTGGCTTTGATAAGAGATATTCTGAAAACAAAACGTACTAATGGAGTGCATCTCACACCAATATCAAGAGCAGTGTTACTTTAATAAAGAGATCAACTAGTGATTAGTATCCTGAGATGCTCGGAAAGGAAAACACCAAGGTCAGAAGGGAAGACAGTGTCTGGATAATAATCAACTTCCCTTTATGTGTGAAGTTAGAAGGGGGAGAATGTGGCTGTGTAGGGAAATAGAGGATCATCTGTTTTCTTTATCAGGGTTCTGCATATGAGTCAGAGCTAGTAAACATACTAATTCTCATTCAGATCTCTTCTTGAAGAAAGAGAAGAAAAATTGTAAAGGAGAAACAAAGAAGAAAAGAGAACTGATAAATTATACAACAAAACAAGGCTATGCTTTGGTTTAAGTAGAGATAAAACAGTGTGCTACACACCAAGAAGTATTAATTACTCCAGGTAGTGACATGTGGTATTATTCTTTTTGGCTCCAAACTATTCTCTGGATCATATCACCTATTTTTCGGAGGTCTTCTAACTCATTCAAGCCTCAGAGAATATGTCTTTTCACTACGCCAAATAGAAGTTTCTTCAATGAAAAACTCTAAGAAAAAATTTAGAATATTTAAAGTAATATTTGCACTGTATTCAAAAAATAAAAATAACCATGGAGCATGAGAGAAGCTTATTAGGAAACAAGAAAATATTTTATCTTTCACATTTCTGGTTCATTTTTAGCAGTGACAGTTTACATTGACATAAAAATAGCCTAGTCTACGTTGATTTTCCTTTTTTCCAGAACACTGACCTACAAATGATTATGTGAAAGCATTATGTGACTTTTAATGCTGTCTAGTGTGGGTATTTAAGTTGTCTATCCCAAATACACTTAAATTTAGACAGGTACTGAATCCTATTTTTCACATATTCTTTACCACATACAGTGTACGGAGTCAAAAGGTAAGGGACCAACGTCTGATTCTACTCCTCACTAGATTTGAATTCAGACAATTCACCTATTCTTGTCTAGACACGTTCCACTACAGTTTTCTAACTCCCTTAGATAATTTTTCTGTGAGAATCACATTTATTTTAAAAATTTAAAGATTTTTGCAAAGCAATAAACAAATGCTACTAAAAGTTATTACTGTATCTTCTTACTAAATTTCTTTTTCTGTTTTCCAGCTTTATTAAGGTATTATTATTATTATTATTATATTTTTTTTTTTTGAGACGGAGTCTTGCTCTTTTGCCCAGGCCAGACTGCAGTGGTGCTCTCTTGGCTCACTGCAAGCTCCACCTCCCGGGTTCACGCCATTGTCCTGCCTCAGCCTCCTGAGTAACTGGGACTACAGGTGCCTGCCACCACGCCCAGCTAATTTTTTTTTGTATTTTTAGTAGAGACGGGGTTTCACCGTGTTACCAGGATGGTTTCCATCTCCTGACCTCATGATCCACCCACCTCGGCCTCCCATAATGCTGGGATTACAGGTGTGAGCCACCGCGCCCAGCCTTATTAAGGTATTATTAACAAATAAATATTACATATTTTTATGGTGTACAGTGGTGATGTTTTGATCTATGTGTACATTGTGAAATGATTAAGTCCACCCAAGTAACATATCCATCACCTCCCATACTTGTTTTTGTGCTGAGAACATTTGGGATCTATGCGATTTTCAAAAGCATAATACATGATTACATATTATTTTAAAGTATAGTTACCATGCAGTACAATAGATCTGTAGAACTGACTTATCTTATGTAACTGAAATTTTGTACCCTTTAACCAGTATCTCCCCATTCCCTGCCCTATACCCCAGACACTGACATCCACAATTCTACATTTTACTTCTGTAAGTTCACTTTTTAAGATTCTGCATGTAAGTGAGATGCAGTGTTTGTCTTTCTGTGCCTGGCTTATTTCACTTAGCATAATATCCTCCCAGTTCATTCATGTTGTCACAAAGGACAGGATTTCCTTCTTTTTAAAGGTTGCATAGTATTTCATTGCATATTGTAGTATATTCATTATATATGTGTATGTTGTAGTATATATACATATATATCATACAATTTATTTATCCATTTATCAGTCAATAGACATTTGGGTTGATTCCATATCTTGGCTATTGCGAACAGTGCTTCAATAAACATGGAGTACAGATATCTCCTTGACATACTAATTTCATTTCCTTTGGCTATATACCCAGAAGTAAGATTGCTAGATCATAGAGTAGTTCTATTTTTAATTTTTTGTGAAACCTTCATACTGTCTTTTTTATAATGGCTGTACTGATTTACATTCCCACCAGCAGTATACAAGAATTCCCTTTTCTCCACATGCTTGTTAACACTTAATAAGAATTAATAATCCTTGTTATAATTTTTTATTAAAACAAGTAATGTATTGAACTGCTTTTGCTGTGAAGCTAGACTTCATTCTCCTGACAATTTCAAAATTTGTATATTAATTTATATATAACCTATCACAGGTGTTGTCAACATTCTCCTGAGATTTGGCCAGTTTAGGAATCTGCTCTTGTTCCAATAGTTCTAAATCCCAAGCTTGGCCGCCATTTTGTTGTTAAACTTCCTCTGTTCTGCCTCTCACAAGCATCCAGTAGCCCCTGTTTTCTGTTTTGTTTTGTTTTGTTTTTTGTTTGAGATGGAGTCTCGCTCTGTCACCCAGCCTGGAGTGCAATGGCCTGAACTTGGCTCACTGCAACCTCTACCTCCCAAGTTCAAGCAATTCTCATGCCTCAGCCTCCCAAGTAGCTGGGACTACAGGCATGTACCCCCATGCCAGGCTAATTTTTGTATTTTTGTAGAGATGGGGTTTCACCATGTTAGCCAGGCTGGTCTTGAACTCCTGACCTCAAGCAATTCATCTGCCTCCGCCTCCCAAAGTGCTGGGATTACAGGCGTGAGGCACCGCGCTTGTCCAGTGGCCCCTCCTTGTGTTTTAAAACCTCCTTGTGGCTTTTTGTGCGTCCTTCCCTTTCCTCTTTCCATAATAATTAGACAATCAAACTTTACCCAAATGTCATGTTCAGGAAGTATTTTATTCTCTGACACTCCATGCACTTTATAGGCTTGGGTAAATTTGCAAGGAGAAGGTAGTTCCTTTGAAGCAAGGAGGCAAGTAAAGAGAGTGACCTGAGCTACATGCAATTTGTGCTGTGATGTTGATATTATAACCAGGTTCCAATTGTAAGTTTTGGCTATATCACTCTTGCAATTGGAGCTACCTGAGGGAGTGAGGTGGTAATACCTGCTGAGCTAATATCACATGACTGGTGCTAACAGCATGTGGAAATTCGTATTCTTAAAATGCACACGCATGGACCTACACATAACCATCTATATATTTTCTCCTTCTTGGAAAACCATGGAAGGAGTCAGCATCCATGGGACAAATTTTAATGTTGATGCTATTTTGAGAAAATCAATTTCATCGGTGAGTAGAAGTCATGCAAAGATGGTGTAAATGAAGCAGGCCTGATTTCTCCATTACATGGTAGGAATTAAGAGGGGAATCTGTGAGTTACATTTGAAAGAAATATAATCTTGTTGCCTTCTGATTGTTAAGTAGTGCTGAGAGTTTTTGATATGCAAGAGTATTTTCATAACCAACAAGAAGTGACATATTTTATGTGGGTATTGTATTAGAGTTCTCCAGAGAAGCAAAACCAATAGGATGTGTATATATAGAGAGAAATACACATATTATAAGGAATTAGCTCAGCCAATCATCGAGGGTGGCAAGTCCTAAATCTGCAGTGAGCATTGTGAAGGAGAATTCTTTCTTGCTCATGAGAAGCCAATCTTTTTGCTTGATTCAGGCTTTCAACTGATGGGAGGAGACCCACAGACATTATGGAGGGCAATCTACTTTACTCAAAGCCCACCAATTTAAGTATCAGTCTCCTCCCAAATACCACTCACAGAAACACCCAGAATAATACCTAACCAAATATCTGGGTACCCCATAGCCCAGTCAAGTTGGCACACAAAATGAATCAGGTTTTACATAGATATTTGTATGTATGTATATGTATGTGTATAGGACATATGTAAAATCTAATGTTCCACAAAAATTGTACCACATAAACCCTACTGTCTAATGTTGTAGCATGTGCTACAAACCAAAATTCCAGAAAAGAGATGCATGTGAGGGTGACTGAATCTTTGATTTTGTTATTGTACATTCCTGCGTGGTTTTCGTATTAGATGGGATTTTTTTCTTAATAGACATTTATTAAATGAAATTAATTAGATATCAATAATCTAACATGCATCTCACAGTCTTTTTTTCTTTGTCATCAACTTTTATTTTAAGTTCCAGGGTACATGTGTAGGATGTGCAGGTTTGTTATAGAAGTAAACATGTGAGATGGTAGTTTGCTGCACAGATCAACCTATCACCTAGGTATTAAGCCCAGCATCCATTAGCTATTCTTCCTGATGCTCTCCCTCCCCACATACCCCTGACAGGCCCCAGTGTGTGTTGTTCCCCTCCATGTGTTCTCAGCGTTAACTCCCACTTGTAAATGAGAACATGAGGTGTTTGGCTTTCTGTTCCTGCATCAGTTTGCTGAGGATAATGACCCCCAGCTCCATTCACGTCCCTGCAAAGGATATGATTTGGTTCCTTTTATGGATAGTTTAAGTAGCCTTCAAACAAGTGTATGACAGTAACTCATTGTTGAGTGATGATCATATTATATATTAATGCTTTTTAAAAATAATTTTTGATATTTTCTCATGTGCCTTGAGAAATAAATAAAAATAATAATTTTTGCAAATTAAACATAAAAATACATTATTTGGGCCAGGCGCAGTTGTTCACACCTGTAATCCCAGCACTTTGGGAGACCCAGGTGGGTGGATCATGAGGTCAGGAGATCGAGACCATCCTTGCTAACACGGTGAAACCCAGTCTCTACTAAAAATAAAAAAAATTAACCGGGCATGGTGGCACGTACCTGTAGTCCCAGCTCCTCAGGAGGCTGAGGCAGGAGAATCTCTTCAACCTGGGAGGCAGAGGTTGCAGTGA
The DNA here is from genome assembly GCF_000001405.40 of Homo sapiens. Lineage (NCBI taxonomy): Eukaryota > Metazoa > Chordata > Mammalia > Primates > Hominidae > Homo > Homo sapiens. The sequence continues at coordinate 146,457,575 of NC_000007.14, read as the reverse complement.
GCCAAGATCGTGCCACTGCACCACTCCAGCCTGGGTGACTATATATATATATATATATATATATATATATATATATATATATATATATATATATTCATTTTTGAAGCTATAAATGAATCAAATTATAATTTGATTCATTTATAGCTTCAAAAATGAATATATAATCATTTTTTGAATATTCACACTGATTAACTTTCTAGTCATTAGTTTTATTCATCACATGCAGTCCCTTGATGACATTACACTTTACCTCAGCTTCTAAAACAATCATAACTATCTATAGTTTATGTACCTCATATGTCCATCACTTTCTATAAAGATCACAGAAGTGTTGAGAATATGAAATCTAATTCAACACTTCTAAAAATACGTCTGTGACTGCAGAATTATCTTTAAGGCATTTATCTTGAATTACCACTTGACATTGCATTTAGCAAATGACAAATGATGATTCTGATCCTCTCAGGCTTGATTCCATAGTGCTTTCCACATCAAAATCTGCAAAACTTTAATCTGAATGAGGCCAGTAGAATAAAGATCAAGGTGTTATGCAATGCAGTTTGAAAAAAATACATTTAAATATTAATTAAATTACATAAAAATTTTTATATGGACAAAGAATAGAAAGTTGTCATTTATACTTTGTGGATTAGATGATTTCTAAGACTGTCTTTCCTACCAATTTCTTTATACTAATTAGATCTGTTCTCTATCCCATTAAAGCAAAATTGCAAATGGGCTGTTGCATGTATAGAAGCATAAATCATCCACATTCAGCTGAATGCTTATAGACATATTTATTTTTTTAGTGAAACCCTAAGATTTATTTTAAAGGGATACTGACCTCTTTTAGGCCTGATGCTGACAAGGCATTGCTTCACAGCATCACAGCTGGAAAAACTGATGTGAGGCCTTAAGGAGAACTTGGGAAGTTTGGGAGAAGATTAATTAAAAATTAAAACTCCAAAAGAACAAGTAAACCAGGCCTAGAATCTCAGATTTTGAGGAATCTGGAGATTTTATTTCTATTCTCAGTAACAGCAAACCCTTTGAAAGGATCTGTGAGACTTCAGAAAATTTATATAAAGCCCAAGCAGAGGAAGTTTTCCATATCTAAACTTTCAGATTTGGATGAATCTGGAACTTTTTGTTCTATTTTCAGTTCTGTCAAGCAACTTGCTTTCCTAGTTACACCTAAATCATAGGTAGATAAGAACTTTCATTTGACCAGCAGACTGACCCGGAAATCTTGTTGTGATTTGCTAGTCTGCTGTTGCTTTTTGTGTTCCTAGTTGGCTTTGCTGAAAACATTAAAATACATATATACATACATACCTAAAGTATCTTACTTTTGATTTTGGAAATCAACCACCTTTTATTTTCTGGCATTCACAAACTTCCAAAAATTCACATTTAATCTGACACCAGCCAAGAATTCCCATTATGGAGATCAGCAATGAATTTCATTTATTAGGAATGGAACAAGTATATTGAAACATAAACATTTCCCCCTTTTTTTTAAGAAAAAACTCTCCACTTGTATAAGGATGAGTGATATGTATGCATGTGCTCAGATTTCATATCAATTCATGGTTTATAGCCAATATGGTATAACTTTAGAAATTATAACAGCATAAGTGGCTCATGTGTTTTATATATTTCATGTTTTAAGTCACTTTTAAGGTTACTCTTGTACGATTTTTAAATTAGCTTTCCTCTCATTGGCAGTTTTCGTTAATAAAAATAGAAAGACCAACTGACCACTAATTTCTTCAGTATTGAGTTTACAATCAGCGTTAAAAGCTATTAAAATATGCAGCTACCTAATTATTGTATTTTCTTTATGCCCAGGAAAAATAATAAGCTGGATAGATTAAATTATTTTTCCACTGTAAAATGAGTTTTTATTTTATATTCCACACAGTGGTTTCTCCCTTTCAACATAAGACCCTATGAATTTTAAATTATAAACATTATGTATAGAATGAGAGAAGGTCTTAGAAGAACTAATTAAGAAACGAGACAGGGATGCCTCCTGTGTCCTTAACCAGATGCCTGACCTCATTCTCATTTCTTCTTGCCTGAAAAGGGCACAGATGTTTGTTCCAAACTAGTACTTATGTCCCAACATCTGGTCCACATTTTGAAATTGAAAGGAAAAGCATACGGGTACTTAGCCCTGGGAAAAATAAAAGGATGTAGTGTAGAAAGAGATGGCAGATACAAGGATACATCAGTGAATAAAAATGCAGGATTAAAATGACTTTCAGAGATCAAGAATAAAGTGATCTCAGAAATATTTCTTTTCAAGCATAATACAGTTTTCTTTTGTATGTCCTTATAGAGAGATACTGTTCTCTGCAAGGGTATTTGCCATGATTGATTTACATCTAGGGCAATGTTGCATGCCTATAATCATTATCAAAAGATGCCTTAGTGCTAAGGAGGATGTACAGATGTGGAAATTAAAGGATAAAAGGATTTGACATAAAACCACAGACTGAGAGAGGAGCCCGAGCAGTCTCCAGATGGTGGTAACAGCAGTGGATCTCAAAGAGCCCACATTCAGGGCACAAAGGAAGGTGTGCAACTACATCAGGATAAACTGCGTAGCCATATACGGACTGGCTATTGTTATATACAGGCTGGTTTCAGAGAAAGTAAGGAACTTTGAGGGAAAAGTATAATACAATTTTTCCATTAACAGATGCCAGTTCTAAGCTAACATATATATGTATTTATTATATTCACTTTATTTCCAAATTTTTCCAAAACAATTAATTTTTATCTATTATCTATCTATGATCTAATCTATCTTATCTATCTATCTAATCTATCTATCTATCTCTCTTATTTTGGTTTGCAATCATTTTTACAGTTCAGCAATGCAATCAATATAGCTGCCTTATGAAAATAATACTTCATACAGTATTCATGTATACCTATTTTTATATATACTATTATGTATATACTAATTTATACAATACTTCATAAAGTATTATTTATTTATACACTAAAGAGGACTTTCATAAAGTCCTCTTTTTAACGTGTCCCAGGATTAAGTAAATGGATTCACACTACCTTCCCAACTTTCTTACTACACAGTAAAAATTTTAAAAGGTGAGTCAGTTGACCATCAGCTAGACCATTACATTATTGAAAACAAGTGTTCCTTTTGCAAAATCTCTTGCTTCTGCGTAAACAAACTCAAACTAAAACTTTTATTTCAAAGTTATTTGTTATATGTCACCTACCTTCTTAGAAATACGTAAAGGGGGTAAGAAATACTTCATACTAAGGAATACTAAGAAATGGCCGACAGATCTAAGGTTTAAAAAATATCTATAACAAGAAATGATTTTATTTGATAAAATGAATCTACTAGTATAGAATAAGCAGCCATTTTGTGTATGTCACTATGTTGAACTACATTCAATCCTACTCAAGAAGTTTATAGCATAACTTTAAAATTTTATCTTTATCTTTAGTTTTAACCAATTTGATAATGATGTACTTTAGCTTTTTCCATTTTTTTGAACTTCTATTTTTTTTGAAAATTTTCTATCTTTTAATTGATAGTTTTCATCGAATTTGGAAATTTTTCACTCCTCATTTCTTCAAACATTTCTCCTGCTTCTCCACCCTTTTAGGACCCCAAGTTGCCCCATAGCTCACTGATGCTCTGTTAATTTTTTGTCAGTCATTTTTTTCTCTTTGTGTTTCCTTTTGAATGGTTTCTGTTGCTGTCTTCAACTTCACTCATCTTTACAATCTCTAAGCTGCCAACAGTCACAGCCTATGCATTTTATAATCTCTAGAAGTTAAATCAGAGTCTCTTTTATATCTTCTGTACCTCTAATTTTCATGCTCGCTCATCATTCTCACTTCTTGAATATATGGGATACAATAGTAAAACAAAAATGTTCTTGTTTACTACTTTGATCATCAGTATTATTTCTTGGTCAGTATTGATTGATTGTTTTGGATTTTTTTCTCCTCATTCTAGGTTATATTTTCCTGCTTAGTTCATACTTGGCAACATTTGATTGGATGACAGACCTTGTGAATTTTACCTCATTGGATCTGGACATTTGTGTTTCCTAGAAATATTCCAAGCTTCATTTATGACAAGTTAAGTTACTTGGAAACATTTTGGGTCTTGCTTGAAAGTTGTTAGTTGAGATCAGAGCAGCATTTAGTGTAGGGTTAATTTTGCTTTACTACTGATGCAAACTCTATCCCATGCCCCATGAATTATGAGACTTTTCTCTCTGGATTGTGGGAATAAGCAGCAGATAGTTTGAGCTCTATGCGAGCTTCAGGAATTGTTCCTTTTAATCATTTCAGTAGTTATTTACCTGCCTCAGATAGTTTCCTCAAACACTCCCGAATCAGTTCTCCACTGAACATTCCGGAGGGTTTCTTCTTAGATCTCTGGAACATCGTTTCTGTGCAGTGCTCTCCTCTCCACCAGTCTTCTCTAAGGACTATGGCCAGCTTGGCCTTTCAAGACTGCTCTGCCTCAACCCAGAGAGACAACAGACAACCTCCTGGACCTGCATGACATCCTGGAATCATTCTTTCCACACAGTAGCTGGGGCTGTTGTAGGTCTCTTCAAATTTGTTTCCAACCTGTCAAAGATCATGCTACTTTATTCATTTACAGCTTTATGGACTCATGTTCAGAGTCTTGCAAAATCACTATTTCATATTCTCTTTTCTCTAAGTTGATGTTTTCTTCAGAGGGGAGAGCAAATTTGGTCCCTGCTACTCCACCTTGGCTGGAAGTAAAAGCTTCTACAAGGACTTAGAATCTAGTGGTAGATGAGTTTCCAAATATAAATTAATAAAACATACAGAATGGCAAATGTTAAGTAAAAGTAAATGTTAAACCACATGCATGGCTTTTATTATCTCTGAGAAGTTAAGTTTAAAGAAAGAATTTAAGTTCAAGTAATAACTGTATAAAGGCGATTGAATATCTGATAACAAAAGATGTCTTATATTTCCAGTGAGGATCAAAGAGAATTAGACAAAAATATAACTGAGAAGTTTCACTAGAGATATAAGGCAAACACTGTTATCGAACAAATTTATACCGTACCTCAATGTACAGTGTTTTAAAGAAGGATACATAACTACATTGCATTAATCTATTCACTTGTTCTTTGATTCAATCAAATATTTATTGAATATTTACTATACATGTCATAGATTATGTACTGGGAAATTACTAAGTGGGTAATAATGAGTATCATGCTTTTTAAACCCAACTAATGGAGGATGAAAATGAATACACAAATAATAATAAAACAATTATTATAATAGAAGTTTATGGTAAGTGGTATGAAGACAAAATATATAGAAGAGGCCGGGCGCAGTGGCTCACTCCTGTAATCCTAGCACTTTGGGAGGCCGAGGTGGGTGGATCATGAGGTCAAGATATCAAGACCATCCTGGCTAATATGGTGAAACCCCGTCTCTACTAAAAATATAAAAATTATCTGAGTATGGTGGCACGTGCCTGTAGTCCCAGCCACTTGAGAAGCTGAGGCAGGAGAATCACTTGAACCTGAGAGGCAGAGGTTGCAGTGAGTCGAGATCGCGCCACTGCACTCCAGCCTGGGTGACAGAGTGAGACTCCATCTCAAAAAATAAATAAATAAATAATAAATAAATAAATATATGTATATGTGTATATATACGTATATATATATATAGAATACGTGTATATATATATGTATATATATACGTATATATATATATAGAAGAGACCTTATTTCTTCTTATTCCTTCTATAGCTAGGGTTAGGGAATTAGAATAATTTTGAAAATCAAAATGATATTTAAGCTGAGTCTTGAAGACTGTTTGAAAACTTGTCCAGTAGAATATTGTGAGGTATAGAAAGCTCATTCTAGACATAAAAACAAGACTGGCTTATAATCTGTGCAACGCAGTGCAAAATAAAAACGTAGGGCCCGTTGTTAAAAAATGATTAAGAATTTCAAGACAGTGACAGCAGAGCACTATACCTAATGTGCAGCCTATTTGAGTTCAGCACCCTGTGGAATGCATAGGTCGCATCCCCATGGAGCTGGCCTTGTTTATGTCAAGAGTGTAGGCTGTGGAGTGGTGGAAAGGTCAGAGATAAGCCTGGAAAATCTATACAACACATGAAGGAGTGAGATGGTTTGATTGAGTTAATGCCAGAGAAAAGGGAAATCGACTGAATACTCTTAAAATCTCTGTTATTGGGCATAGATTCTCTAAACATTATAAAGGCTCAACTGCACTGACCAATTACAATTATTTAGAAATAAACAGTTTTATGGCTGGGCACGGTGGCTCACGCCTGTAATCCCAGCACTTTGGGAGGCCAAGGTGGGCAGATCACGAGGTCAGGGGATCCAGACCGTCATGGCTAACACGGTGAAACCCCGTCTGTACTAAAAATACAAAAAATTAGCTGGGTGATGTGGTCGGTGCCTGTAGTCCCAGCTACTCGGGAGGCTGAGGCAGGAGAATGGCGTGAACCCGGGGGTCAGAGCTTGCAGTGAGCCAAGACCACGCCACTGCACTCCAGCCTGGACGACAGGGCAAGACTCCGTCTCAAATAAATAAATAAATAAATAAATAAATATTTTTACTATGAAAATAACAGCATCTCTATTTACAAATTATGAAATAAGAAATCCCATTCAATCTACGTGATGTGTTATTTTAAAAGACCGAAAATTGCTTACTTAATTTACAAATTATTTGTAAAAATCCCTGAGGTTCAAAAATGTTAATTTTCCAAGAGGAAAAAAATTGAAGATAAGATCATAAAACAATATCTTTTATTCCACATGCCTTTTACAATAAAATTGGGTCTTTCCTTTCATCAAGAGGTGGAGTCTATCCCTTTTCTCTTAAACCTAGGCTGGCTTGGTGATTTGTTTTCACCAGTAAAATATGACAGAATAGACAACATGTGGCTTCGTTTAAGAGGATTTGTAGGTTTCCATTTTTGTATGCTCTTAGAAGTCTGTTTCGAATCTTAAGGAAAACAAAACTAACGCAGTAGAGAAGCCACACGAGGAAGTTAGGTCCCATATAAGTTAATCAAGTTTTCTTGGAAATTTCATCCCAGCTACCAGCTTAATGCAGAAAATGAGTAAATCCTGCCCACCCTTGTGGAATAGAACTAACCAGCTTGGCCCTGACAGAATTCCATACTTACAAATTTATAAGAAATAAATTACTGTCATTTAAAATCTGTCAGATTTGGGGTGGTATGCTATGCAGCAATAGATAACTGAAACTGCTATAAGATATAAAACACAAAGTATTAATACAGCTAAATGTCATATTTTCTTTAAAATGCAATATTGGCTTTAAGATAGCTCAAAGTTCATGTTATTAATTATTAAAATGTATTATGACTATTACCTTTGTTGTTGTTGTTGTTTTATCTCCTTGGAAAAGAAAAGCTTTTTAGAAAAGGTACAACGTAGAAACAGTGTTGGTAAATAACTTGCATAATGTCCGTATTTAATAATGTAAGGATATACTGAGGAACACGGGAATGACATTAAAATTGTGTTCTGTATAGAAATAGTGGACTGATAACTAGGCAGATTGGATGTCAGTGCTCCACAGAAATCAACTGGATTGTACATCACTAATAAAAATAATCTTCATTCACCTGAATACAAGGAACATGGTTCTGTGCTGACAGGATAGTGCCGTCTCTCAATCATCACTGATTGAAATCTGTAAAATCACAGGTTTTGTACGACTGTCAACTAAAGCTTGTCATCATACTAAAAGGCATATCAACCAGTTTAATATTAGGGGCATTCATGAAATATGCAAAATTCTGTCTAAGGTGCCATCTTAAATGTCGTTTTAAGTATATTTCCTTTCTTTCAATAATACCCATTATCACATATGTGTTTGTGATATCAAAGGGCTAGCTAGGGCTACCAGTTCAACTCCAAGATGGAGTACACATAATTTCTCTATTCTTTCTGTGAACTGCAGCCCCAAGTCATTGATACTGTAGATGAAACATCCATTAAGAAGATTCTGAAAAGCAGAGAAAAGATAGGTTCATTGGGGACATAGGGACCTGAGGATACATGGCAGTGAATTCCTTGGATTTTCTTTTTGCTTCATATATTTTCTTATAGAGAGAAGCCAATAACCCAGAAATACCAACATGCACAAGAGGAAAAAAGGGCCACAAATTACATAATATAATAGAAAAATACCAACACTATGATGACACAGAAGATGGGATTATCTGACAAGGATTTTAAAGCAGCCATCATAAAAATGTTTTAACAAGAAATAATAAACATTCCTGAAACCAATGAAAGAAAGTCTCAACAAAGAAATAGAAGATATAAAGAAGAACCAAATGAAAATCTTAGAACTGAAAATATAATAAGCAAAATAAAAAACTCAATAGGATCTACTCAACAGTAGAATGTATAGGGCAGAGGAAAGAATCAGTAAATTAGAAGAAAGAATGGTATCAATGGCCTTGCCTCGGCAACACAGAAAAGAAAGACTGAAAATAAGAATGAACAGAGCCTTAGGGAGCTGTGGCACTGTAATAACAGATTTAGCATTCATGTCATCAGAGTAACAGAAAAAGAGATGAAAGAGGATGGAGCTGGGATAATCAAAGCTGAAAAGGACTTACAGGGAGTCAAGGTTTCTACATCCAGCAGACGGATATAAGTTGTTATGTATAGGGCTGATGGGTGACGTTTTTAACTATAAAGGTGTAGTGTGAAGAAAAGTTTTGTGTTAACAGAATAGTTCTATATTCCAATTGCAGTGATTATGTGTGATCGACATTACACAAACATCATACCAATATCCATTTATTATGCTAGTTTGGTAAGATACAACCATTAGAGGAAAGTAGTTTAAAATGCATGGAATCTCTGCACTAACTTTGCAAATTTCCATGCATCTTAATTAGTTTTAAATAAAATGTTTTAACAAACGATTACTGTAAAAATCCTATATTCACATGTACCCTAAAACTTAAAGTATAATAAAAAAAAAACAAAAACAAAGTGCTTATAAAATATGAGAACAGAGCAACGGTAAGTGCAATCTTCTATAAACAAAGAATTTAATAAAAGAGACGGAAATAAAAATAACTTTAAAAAGTTAAAAAAAAAATCCTATATTCTTTATCCCCCTTCTGAAATTACAGAGTATAGGGGAAATATTTTGAGCTGGAAGGCAGGAGACCCAATTGTAGTAGCCACTTTATGGAATGACAAGCTGTTTTGTCTTAGAAAATTGTCATTACTTTTCTGTGTTTTGGTTTCCCTAAATGTGGATAAAAGGATGACAATCGATTTCTGAGGCACCTCTTAATTTGTGATTTGATAGTTTTGTCATAGTTAACAGCCATTTCTCAATCATTAAATATGTATTGGTGTTGGTAGCATTAACCATTTTTCTTTACTCAGTAAATGCTATTTCAAGTTACATACTTCATGGGAATCTTGTGAATTAAATTAAGAATAAGAGGAAGCTTCCTGTTGAAAAAAGATAAGCTCTTAGAGACTCTCTTATTATCATCCAATTTTGGAAGCCAATATTATTAATAAAAGGTCACAAATTGTTATCCCCATTTTTTCAAATGTGCGTATGACGTAAATTCAAAACACTGACAATTAAGGAACAAATGCATATGGAACTTAAACACAGTTTTTTTATATGATTTAATTTCAATCCCCAGAGTAATGAGTAAACACCATTGATATTCTTTTATCATACACGAACCATTTTAGGATGTTTATTAACTGTAACAGATTTCTGCTTGGCCTTTGAAACTATTAAAATAAATACTTCTGTGATTATTGCAATCTGAAATATTCCTTCATCAAATTGTTAAACCTGAATTTATAGCACAGGTGTTAATGAAGCATGAAAGCTTCTCAATTCTGATTTGCAGTTGCAAGATTCTCATATTTTATAACAATGCATATTTTTTGGTTTATGTAATGTCAAAGAAAATAATATTGTCTTTGTCAGTATATATTCTATGTTACATCATAAAACTAATAAAAATGTAGGAAACAATTTGAAAATTGTAAATTGGTTCTAAAATAAATATAACATAATAGGTGAAACTAAAATATTATAGCCTTTAGAAGGGTCACTCATAATTTGGCAAATACTAATGCATTGCTGAACCTCAACTTCAGACATGCACATTTCTTTCTTTAACATCAAATAAGAAAAGAGCTAGTTATTGAGACAATAAATTAGCTCCTTTCTTTTACTGAAACCATATTCTTGGCATAACTGTGCTGTGGCGTACACTCTCCATTGAGCAATAAAAGTTAAGCACAGAGCAGCATTTAAAATCATATTAATACATCCATTTGTTCCCCCAAATGTTAGATGCAGCATAAATCTAGCAGAAGTATATTAATCTGAAATGTAACTTGAATAGCATAATATGACCTGTATTCTTAGGCAAGCTGACCAGTGCCTTCCTAAGATACTGTTTTGAATTTTTCTCTTTATAATAGATATCTTTAAAGCAAAATTAACAATAAAATAAAAATATTGCTAGGTATTGAAGCCATAGTTAGTATAAATTGCTACTTTTTGAATACCTAAAAAGTCTAAAATTAATATGCTGTATACAGAGCTGGACTAAGATAAATGTTGTAAGCAGTCCACTTCCATAGTCAGTCTTTTGGGCCTTTATAGAATATAGAACAATAAAAGCGATGGAATATTTTGTTGAGGTAGGGCAGGACTCATAGGTGAGTATACTGTATATTTCAAGTAGATTTCTCTCCAGCCATCTAAATAAGGATCTTCAAGAGTTGCTCAAGTGTTCTGTGCAATGCTAAATATTCAGAGTTGAAAATAAATCAGCATGTGACAGAATCCACCTGGGAGCTACCTTCACCAACTTCTCACTTACTGTTTCAATGTCTCACATGTTTTGTTTTGTTTTTTCCCCTAGAACCAACTGGTCTTTTTCTTAGCTCAGTGACCACTGAGGCAAAGAATAATAGGGATTTGTTTTTAAGAATAAATGTTCACTGATGTGAAACTGACATCACAGTGTTCTGAAGAAAGTGCTAGTCTGGTTGCAAATATAATTTCTTTTTTTTATCTTATTTTCTGCAACACCCTCAGCCTTGGGCATTCCATATTGTAGAATGTGTAGAAGATTTCTCTAGATAATTTGGAGCTGAGTGGGATATTAAAATGTTCACAGCCACGATCCTCTAAATTGGTTTAGTCCTTAATAACAATGTAGCAACTGTTTCCAAGACTGTTTTCTAGTTTTCACTATATTTGCTTCATACTGTGTCATATTATCATGATTATTATTAAAACATAATATTTTTTATTTAAGCAGTAGCACTTTACATTTATGTAGCCTCTTGATTTCAAGTTAAATTCCTTGGGGCAATCTTGCCTTCAGCAATCTTTCTCAATTTACATGTAAGACCAATGAACTTAGTAAGAATGATCTACGGTTCTTTTCTGCTCTGGAGTTAATGTGATTCTTCTTTTTCAAAATGTACCAACCATCAAGAAGCAACTTAGTCACTTTACCAAGATTAATCCCATCACCTGAAGGAGAGTTTAGGGAATATATCTTCTTAGGGTTGCCTGTAATAAATTTCCTACCCGAGATACTAGAATTCTATTTAAAACAAACAGTAACAGACATTTGGTAGAATTTCAAGTTAACCTAGCATTTATAAGAATTCCTACTGTCAATGCTACAATAAATAGGCTTGTGGGAAATGTTGTTTCCACTACCAATCCATTCTTTCTCCCTCCCTCATTCATCTTGCTCTACTACTTGCTATCTTTATTTGATACAGATTTTGAAAATGCTACTAAAATAAAAGTAGGATATTGGGAAAATGTCTTGATAATGCAAGCACATAAACAGCAAAAAGAAAAGAAACTGTAAAGAGATACACACACACCCTCTCTTCAGTTATTTGATTCTCTAATGGGGAAATGCTTTCTTGTTTTGAACAATTTTAAAATTTCCCTCCATCCTGTACTTAAGTCTTCCACTGATCTGGAAAAACTCTGGGAACTCTTTTGTTACCTCATGTGAAATTGCTTGCTCTAGGTTTCTATTATATAAGGTATTCTGTTTCAAAGATAAGAATGGTATCATGTCATAAGAAGAGGCAAGCATTTCTAGACATTGAAAGGAATTTTGATCACAAGTAAATTTCTCTTTTTTCAAAGCTACCATGTACACAACAGCTACTCAATCTATGATACTTGATTTGATTTTGCCCCATTTACAGTTACAACAACGTCAGGCATAAAAAATAAAATCATAATATTTACTGCAGTATTTATTACAACAATCTCATTATACTTTGGCCACATGGAGAGGATTGGGTTGAACATAGCCTGGTTTTATTTCTCTCCCTGGATAAAAATTTTGGTGACTCTGGTATAAAATCTGACCCTTCCTGGAAACTGTACTAATACTTATTAGAAGGAAGTTTTTTTGTTTATGAAATGATTTGAGCAGAATGTCCCTGGTGTGGAACCACTTAGGTGAACACACTTAGAATCCATGGGCTGGGCGTGGTGGCTTATGTGTCTCGGTGGGTGGCTCATGCCTGTAATCCCAGCATTTTGGGAGGCCGAGGCGGGTGGATTACTTGAGGCCAGGAGTTCGAGACCAGCCTGGCCAACATGGTGAAAGCTGTCTCCACTAAAAACACAAAAATTAGCCAGGCATGGTGGCAGGCACCTGTAATCCCAGCTACACGGGAGGCTGAGGGAGGAGAATCGCTTGAACCTGGGGGGCAGAAGTTGCAGTGAGCCGAGATCATGCCACTGCACCCTAGCCTAGGCAACAGAGTAAAATGCTGTCTCAAAAAAAAAAAAAAGAGAGAGAGGATCTATGGATTTATGAAGCATGTGCTCTTGGAAAATGTCATGTAATCCCTGAATGATCAGTAAAGTGGCAACAGTTCATGATACTTCTGGCTACATGAGGTGAACAGCGACCTTCATTGCAATGGCTCATCCATTACTTTGGTCCAGCAGATGTATCCAGTCCAGGATGTATCTATCCACCTAGGAAGAATCCTGGGTCCTTCAGGCCATGTTCCACCTGTATCTATGTATTACCTGTATCCTTTAAATTATTAGTAAATCTTTACACTATACAAATTTCTGATTCATGTAAGTCAGTTCATTTTTACTGTGTTAAAAAATGTGATAGGCTGGGTGCGGTGGTTCATGCCTGTAGTTCCAGCACTTTGGGAGGCTGAGGTGGGTGGATCACTTGAGGTCAGGCGTTTGAGACCAGCCTGGCCAACGTGGTGAAACCCCGTTTATACTAAAAATATGAAAATTTGTCAGGCATGGTGGCGAGTGCCTGTAGTTCCAGGAGGCTGAGACAGAAGAATTGCTTGAACCCAGGAGGCGGAGGTTGCAGGGAGCCGAGGTTGTGCCACTGCACTACAACCTGGGCAACAGAGCAAGATTCTGTCAAAAAAATTTAATAAATAAATAAATAACATGATAAATACCAACTAATTAGACAGTTTATTCTACTGAGAAAATGGGATATGGATTAATTTTTCACAAACTGAAATTCAGCTAATGTATACAGAACACTGTGATAATACTAGCCATATTCACAGGCTATACTTATGTAATTCTGCTTAATGCTCAAACCAGCTAGAATAGGGCTTTATGCTATTAATTAACAAAAGATAAAATTGGGGCACAAAGAAATTATATGGCTTATGGAAGATCACACTATTGACAGCGCTAGGATAGCAGCTCTGTCTTTTGCCTCTTAATCTAGATGTCTTCTTTATAAAAAAAGTGGTTGACAGGCAGACAAAACCTGAATATAAAATATAGCTCTGCTACTTACTCAGTTTTGGGTTTTGGTAATTTTCCAAATAGCCTTTGTTACAAAATGACGACACTGTGGTCACTAATGTTATAAACTGGTTGTTAGATGGATTAAATTATTTAACACAAAAAATTAATGCAAATACTGGGAGCAGTAAGAGTTATTACGGCTTTGTCCTAATTTTTCCTTCTTCTCACTCTGTATCTCAGGAGTAGTCCCCAAATTTCTAAACAGGGAGGCCTGAGCATAGTGGTATGAATGAAAGGGGTGGAAAGAGCAGAGGCACACTCTGAAACTCTCTTTTATTCTAAATACGATTATGCAATTACCATTTAACTTTACAGGGAAAAGATGGTCGTAAAGTATAATTATTTTTAGTCATGTCAGCATTCTCAAAACCTGACCATGCTTTTATTTATCTATTTATTTATTTATTTATTTATTTATTATTTATTTATTTATTTAGAGACGGAGTCTCGCTCTGTCACCAAGGCTGGAGTGCAGTGGCGTGATCTCGACTCACTGCAACCTCCGCCTCCCGAGTTCACGCCATTTCCCTGCCTCAGCCTCCCTAGTAGCTGGGACTACAGTCGCCCGCCACCACGCCCAGCTAATTTTTTTTTGTATTTTTTTTTTAGTAGAAACGGGGTTTCACTGTGCTAGCCAGGATTGTCTCGATTTCCTGACCTGGTGATCTGCCCGCCTCGGCCTCCCAAAGTGCTGGGATTGCAGGCGTCAGCCACCGCGCCCGGCCCATGTTTTTATTTTTAATGAAAACGAAACTTCAAAAGCACAAGCCATGGAGTATGAACGAATCTTTGGAAATACTGTGAAATCTGCACCCAAGACAAGAAGAATGCTTAGTGCTTACACTCACCTCCTCAGTCCTCAAGCCTCAAGTACTAATGTTGGAATCCTGAAGGCTAAATCCACGGAACAGGGCTAGGTGTGCTGTGCAGGGCTAGTACGATACCACAAAAATGTCAAGTGAGCAGGAGGGGACTCAAGGATAAGTCACGATCAATAGCTCCTTCTATTGTGATAAGCTGTCCCCATTCAAGATGGACCACAGATGTTAGTGGGGCATCAGGCTCTTTCAAGAGGTACCAATTCAACACAGAGTTTTTGACCTACTGAGTTTTTTTGATGAGGTAAAAAGACCTGTAAGATTAAGATTTGGAGGAAGGTGTTTCACACACACTCACACATACACACACACATGCGCACGCACACACACACACACCCCAAATGGATTGAGAATTTTTCCTAGTTTCCTCTATTGCATTTGTACCTATCTCACCACTAACACACATAACATTTAGAATTAAAAACCTACACTTAGATGTATCATAGTATATTTTAAGTAAAGAAAGTGCAAACATTCAAAAGACTTCCCGAAACAAGGAACAAAAATTAGATGGGCATAAGAAACCCTCGATGCAAGAAGATAAGGATGAACCCTTCTAAAGTGTAAAAGAAAAATAACTTGTGGCTTACAGTTTTATATATAGATATTTCATCACTTGAAAGTGAGGTTGAAATATATATACTCTTTGGAATAGAAGACTTCAAAAGTTTTGCCACACACAGAAATATACACAAACAACATTTGAAAATTACACAGAGAAAGTACTCCTCCAAGAGAAGAAATAATTTCAGAAGAGTAAATAATGACAGAAGACATGAGGGATGTGCAAATACATGACAGTACCTTTGTGTTTTGAAAGAGAATGATGTCAAGCTTACAAGGAAGATACAAAAAATTAATATCTTTACATGTTTTATCTTTTCCAATTTTACCCTCTTTTGTTTGTTTGTTTCTTCCATGAGACTTCTTGGGAAAGAGACAATAATGCAGAAACTAGTAAATATCTGATCATCTCTGTGTCCTTGTCTCCAGCTGGAGACCCAGGAGCGAAGAAAAGAGAGACACAGCAGAAGAGATGAGAGGCGATGCTGAGAGGAGCTCCATGCCTTCTTCTCAGGTAGAGATTTTGGGAACTGGCAAAAACCCAGAGAGGAATGCGAGATTCAAGAGCAAAGAGGACCTTCCTCAGTAGACTCCAGAGCATCAGCAAGAGGAAATGCATGCCAGGTTTAGGCCAATGAACTCATCTTGTAGACACTGACATCCATGGATGGAAACCAGAGAATGATCTCCATGGCCATGCATGTAATCAGCAGCAGAGAGGGCCACTTTAAATGAAAGGAACAGGTGGGCAGGGAAGAGAGTTGATGTGTATCTGTAATCGAAGACCAAATAGGGAGACAGTTCTTTCAGGAGATACCGCATAGAGAGATGACTTGAGGACAACTTGCATATGAATTGTCTTGCAATATGAAAGTCCTCTGAAACTTAGTCACAAACCCCCCAAAAAATTTTATTTTGCCAACCCAGAAGAATAGGGCTTAAGAAAGATATTAAGTTGTCTTCCAGAGAAAATTTTTTTCACGGTTGAATTTTTGACCTGACAGTCACACTCATTACATATGTTTATAGTTTTATTCTGAAGTTTTCATACTGACAGGGTTTAAATAAAGGTCAAAAACATTATTGAATGTATCCTCTGATCACCTCGTTCATCTCTCCAAAATCTTCAACTTATGAGTAAGTGAAATACGCCTACAATTCTGACAAAACTGACTCTTATTTTAGACTTGTAGGACAAGTTGTCAATGTAACATCTTGATTTATGTCCAGTGGGAACAAGAATGAACTGTGTGACATTCCAAATGTACAATCAACAATCACATTACGTATTTGGTAATGAAGATACTGCTTCACTGAACTAACATCTCCCTATCTTAAATTCTAATATTAGGTTTTTCAGATAACTAGACAAGATATTTATGTAAAATAATAATTATAACTTAATCAGAAATATGAATCTATGTATTTATGTTACCACAAGTGAGGCATGGGTACTTCCGGGTTGTGGTATAAAAGATTTGGGAAAAATACCAAACAGTACTAAGTAACCTCTCATCAGCCAACTTTAAAACAATGGAAAATTGTGAAATATTTACGCAGATGCATTGTTTTGGTGGAGGGCTAGGTAATGAAATTCTCAAGAGTCTGATTTTTTTAAAAATGAAGATATACACACAGACAGCATAACCAGTGTGACTTTAAATTTTCACATCTTCTCTTTAGGTAAGAGACATACCCATCCACTTCATTAAACGTCAGGCTATATTGCTATTTCACAGTCATTATCTTAAGGGCTTTCATTACACTCTTTGGATTTTAAGTTGAATGTCAAATAGAATTTTGGTAAAAGAAATACGTGATCTAGTTTCTTATGAGAAAAATTAATGGATAAATCTCAGCACTTTTCATACACTTAATTGAGTGTTAGGTTAAATAAGTTTTAACTGACCACACTTTAAATTTTAAAAGTACTCATCTTCATTTACTTTTACTCCACTAAGTTTCTTACTACTAAAGTCTATGTTTTCAAAAACCAATCCAAAAAGTACAGCAACTGGTCTGTCAAATTTTAATATACTTATGTTAATATAGGACAGATTTTTTGTTTTGTTTTGTTTTGTTTTGAGATGGAGTCGCTCTCTGTTGCCCACAGGGCAGTGCAGTGGCACAACCTCAGCTCACTGCAACCTCTGCCTCCCGGGTTCAAGCGATTCTCCTGCCACAGCTTCCAGAGTTGCTGAGACTACAGGTTTCCACCACCACACTCGATTAATTTTTGTATTTTTAGTAGAGACAGGGTTTCACAATGTTGGCCAGGCTGGTCTCGAACTCCTGACCTCAGGTGATCCACTGGCGTAGGCCTCCCAAAGTGCTGAGATTACAGGTGTGAGCCACCACGCCTATCCGAGAGAGATTATTTGAAAGTGGGATTGTTTCATAAATCCAGAAAAATATGCTAATTTTGCATACAATGTAAGGAAAGGTGTTTTTTTAAGTACCTCTCTAAAGTGCTTAATCAAGTTGGAACCTTTGTGACTACGACAAGAGTCATTCTGCTCCCATATATATATGAAAATAAGGAAAAAATTCTGTTTTGTGGAAAGTTGTAGAAATTAAACTTCAAATATGAAGAAGTAGATGCAGATGGCATTTTGTTTGGGGGCTTCTGGAAATATGGGGTGAGTTTTTAGATGAGATTTGGACAGAACATACAATTTTCAAATCATCTACTTTGAAGTAATGATTAAGGCTAAATAAACATATATAATACCAGGAGGAAAGAAGAGAAGACAAACAAAAAAATGTCCAACAAGTTCCTTGATGAATATTCATACTTAAGGGAAAAAAGAAGGCCAGCTACTGGCTCTAAAAGCAGTATGAGAAATAAAGAATAAGAAATGTTTTCATGTCAAAGAAGTTAGTGGCATCTACATCAATAGATAAGCTGCTAAACACTTT
Organism: Homo sapiens; assembly: GCF_000001405.40. Taxonomy (NCBI): domain Eukaryota; kingdom Metazoa; phylum Chordata; class Mammalia; order Primates; family Hominidae; genus Homo; species Homo sapiens. The sequence continues at coordinate 146,439,288 of NC_000007.14, read as the reverse complement.
GACAAGCATACTATATGAGAGAAAACATAACTTTGGTGTATGTCTTTGAAATTGAAGAGAGTGTTTTTTAAAAAATGAATATCTTAAACACTGGAAATATAAGGAAGGGATACATAGTCCCCTTCTCTGGGGAGAAATGTGCTCTCCAGTTTTAAAAAAGAGAACAGATGTATTAATGTTAAGATACTCCATCCACCTGTGGCGGTACTTTTTTTTAGTAATAAATAATCCAAAAAGTGATATAATGAAATCCTACACTGTTTTCTGTTTTTGAAAATGCAATGTAAAGCTAACATGAATAAATTAGAAAAGAAAACTTCTTAAGGTATGAAAATAGCCTGAAGAATAGAAATGATTTTAGAGGCATTAAAATCTATGCTCAGGATGACAGACCATGTTCAACAAGTGTGTGCCCGAGAGAAAGAACTAGATAGCAAAATGAATCCCTATTTTTCCAGTATTCCCTGGTGTCCACTCTAAATGTTTTGAGATATCAACCAAAGCTCAATAAAAAACCTATCTTAATCTTTTAGAAATTATATTGTACAACCATTGTAAAAATAGTTTTTGGTGTTCAATTATGAGTAAAAGAATTCTAGAAAATCCAGGAAAGAACAACTAAATTAAAGACTTGGAAAACTATTTAAAAAGAAACTCTTAGTAGTATTATTGCTATTTTCATGAAAATAACCTACCATGTCTGAAAATGTGAAAAATTAGATATAATTAAAATGCAAACTAATAAAAGAAATATAAATATGAACACAAGTTTTCAGCTCATTATAAATATGTAGCCCAAACTTCTGAAGGTAATATTTGGGCAAAGATAGACTTACTCTCTTATCCAGTAGAGAGTAAACCTTCACAGTGTTTGATCCCTTGTTGCTAAAAAGGATAATGAAATAAATAAGATGAAAAACCATCTAAAATCAGTGTTTCACAAGCTGTGTTCCATGGAACCCTGGATCAAGGGGATATGAATAGACTCTTTAAAAAAAAAAAAAGCTTCTATGGATAAATAACTGTAGGATATGTGACAGAAACAGTTTGAGAATTCCCTTTACTGCATGAAGACTAAGAGTTTTTTATTATATGATACGAATTGCACATATGTATACTAGGCATTCCGGGCTTGCTAGTAAGATATACATATGTATAATGTATAGCATATGACCAATGTAAGCTAGATTACGTCTCGATAGCAAACCCTGAACTCCTAGGGGCTTAACAATAAAGATGTGTATATTGTTAACCCTATGTCCCCATCATGGGATAGCAATGATGTTCTGTTCCATAACAACCCCTGGCTAATACAGGTACTGTTATTTTGTGGTTGTACCATCTGCAACATGGGGCTTCCTCCCTTACTCCGGTAAGAAAGGGGACAAAAACAAACAAAAAAAAAAACGAGATTGGGGAATTGCACATGAGTTTTCCAGTGTCTTAGTCCAAAATCCACTTCACTTTTGATCACATTTTTTGGCCATAACTCCTCACAAATTTGAGTGCCCAAACAGGCTAGAAAATATAAGGAAACAAATGGAATGTTTAGCAGGCATTAATATATTTATCCCAGCATCTAAGGAGAAATTTTAAAGTTCATTATTTACCAAACTTATTTTGATGTACAATTATTTTTTTAGTTTGCCATTTTATAGGATTAAGTGTCAATGAAGCACAAATTGAGAAATACTGGTTTAAATAAGCTTACGTTTCATGAGAAGGATTTTTGAGCAATGCACTTACAATTCAACCATAATATTTTTGTATGAATGCGAGGGAGAATGGTAAATAGATGCCAAAATTATCTCTAGTCACCTTAAACATGGTACGCATTTCACTAGATAATATGAAATATAGTTTTGATTCAATATGGCATTTATTATTTTATTCTGTGTTATAATAGTGTATAACCCACACATACATACATGAGCTATGCTTATATCTTTGAAATAGTAGTTTTGTCGTTTAGAACAGTCGTCCCCAACATTTTTGGCACCAGGGACTGATTTCATGGAAGACAATTTTTCCACGGACAGGAGGGTGAGGTTGGGGTAGATGGTTTCAGGATGAAAGTGTTCCACCCAAGATCATCAGGCATTAGCTTGATTCTCATAAGGAGCGCGCAACCTAAATCCCTCTCATGCACGTTCACAGTAAGGTTCACGCTCCTATGAGAACCTAACGCCAACGCTATCTAAAGGGAGGTGAGCTCAGACAGTAATGCTCACTTGCCACCGCTCACCTCCTGCCGTGCGGCCCGGTTCCTAACAGGCCATACACCAGCATCAGTCTGTGGCCCGGCAGTTGGGGACCCATGGTTTAGAATTATAATTTATAGAGATTCTTGTCTTTCTAATATTTCTACAATGTCAACAAATGTTAACAATACAGCTTTAGATATTGCTTGTCAACAGGGCAGTCTACTTAGCCTCTTCTCAGTTTTATATTCTCCATTCTTTAATATAACGGAATAACATGTTTATAGTTAATGTTCCATAGAGTTTATACACCAAGCACTTGCTATTGTCCTGTTTAAGAAATTTCATAAATTGTTTTCATACTGCATCCTTCAAAATTAAAGTTAGGTTCTTAAAAATATTTATCAAGTTTTAGAGGTTTCTGTTTCCAGGATACAAATAATCTCTGTGTTTTTGTTTCTTCTAAACTGTGTTTTATTGTTTTTAGCTTTTCTGTATTTATCATTTTGCTTTATGTTACCTATTGTATTTTATAAGTATGTGAATTATTTTAAATTTTCCTATTATCTCCCCTTATTGTGATTACTTAGGTGCTTATTTTTAAAACTGAAATAGTTTTGTTTTATATTAAATTTGGAAAATATGTCAACACAGACATTGTCACATGTTGTTTTCTAATATACATGTGAAAAATTATGAATCCACATTTTTATTATCACCACTGCAACATATATAGCCACATCAACATGCCTGCTAATAGCAAGAACATAAGAGCATACCTCTTTTGTAGACACTGATTATTAATCTAAGTCAAAAATCATCTATTTGTATGGGGAATGAAGATTTTTTTACCCACTTACCCATCACAAAAAACATAAAATCTCCAAAGTATTATGCGGACTTAGCCCTATGGTTTATTCTAAGAGTATTGCTAGGAGAGATACATGGTGCTAGTTATAGGTAATTAACAGTATTTTCTATATTATAAATTAAGAATAATGTAGACATTCCCTAAACTGTCATATTTTTGCTGAATAACTCATCGGCATTATAGGGAAATGTGATCAATAACTGGATTGTTTGCAAAAAGAAAGTATATACTGGTAAATATACAAGTTTAGGCTTTGGATTCAGCCAAATCTTGGCATATCATTTACCAAGTATGTTATTTACTAGCTGTATGTATATCTTGGATTTGACCAAAGCAATCTACTGCAGATAAGCTCCTGTTGAGAATTGACTCCATTTCCTAACTTAACTCTTTAAAATATATGATAGCATGATCATATCTTGTTGTGAGGAGAGGAACGACTCCTACAACATATGTCCAAATAAAAGCATTAAATAAAGGGGGTTGAAATATATGTTTACTAAGAAGTGATTAGCATACATGACATACACACGTTTTTATCAATTCTCTCAGATGTACTAAGTGCCTATATAATATACTGCCTGATTTATACTCCCAAACATCTCCGAAACACTGGTCTCTTCAATGACCCTTTATGTACAAGGAACTGAGATTTTAAAATTCTACTAGAGATGTTTACAGCTGATAAATAACTAACGGATGTAAAATTAGATGTCAAGTCTAACTGATTTCATATCATTTGTTCGTACAAACTCTACGCTTACAAAGGCACACAATTCTTTTAACTAGAAGTCACAAGACGCAGAACTGAAATGGAAACTCAAAATATTGGGCACAGTTTTTTAGCAGGGTCTAAAAGCAGCTGGTACTCACATTGCCAAGCACTTTTTGCAGTGGTGGAGAGAGGAGTTAAATTTACAAGAATTATAAGTTAAAAAAGTTTATTATTGGTGCAAAGTTTTAGGTTAAAAGAAATTAATGCAATATAATGTTAATAACACTAAATTTTAAATTAGACCATCTGAATTTCAGATTTTATATACTCATCCCACTAGCTATGTTGGCCAAAAGCAAGTTAATTAACCCTCTGACCATGAGACTATCCTGAAAAGTAACACCTATTCCCCTCATAGTAGAAATTTCTCAAAAGCAGAAACTTCATCTTCTATACCTTTTGATTTTCTATATCAAATAAGAAACTTCCATGGCTCCTGAGTTGCACAACAAAGAGAGAGAGAGAAAAGTTTGCATTGAAGTTTCTGTGAATTGCACACTTTTGATTTGTGTATCACAAAGCCCTGCAGAGCGGCCCTGAATGAGTGCCTGGCACACATAGGGGATTCAATAAATCCTATTGCAATCCACTCTGAACTGCCACAAGTTTCTTTTTTTTCCCCAGGAATTAAGTATAAAACAATATATATTAAATTTCTAATTTACTACAAAGAAATATGCTATTATAATTTCTATTGTTTTAACCTTCTCTAATATTGTTTTAATCCATTGCTGAAACAGTTAAGCAGAAACTACATAATTGTGCCGTTATTATTAACAATATCATCTTCTATTTTTGTAATCTAAACAAATTTTGATTCAGAATTTGTTTCAAAATTTCTTCACCACCTGCCTAAAATTGTGCTCCCACCTCTTCTGAAGCGTATCATGCCTGCAAACTCTGTTCTATGTTTTATAAAGAAACTTAGATTATTCACATAAATGTTGAGGGTTATGAACTAATAGTAAGTAAAGGGTAAGCATAATTTTAATCCATGCTTGAAAGTTTCAGACTGCTGTGAAAATTAGCCTGTGGATCCAGAGAGTCCCCTGACAACATGCATTCACAATGGCGTAAAATCTGTGAAAGCACCATTAATGCTTTAGCCACGCTTATAAATAAGAAAACTAATAAGATTGCCTCTTAGAAATTCTGTTGACTACATTGGCTCTTCTTTTTATGTCACTTTATTGAGTAGAACCAACCCAAATGTAACCTCACAGTGTAATTCTCTCATGAATAGCTTCTGCAGATTTAGATTGGAATGGTATCTGGCCATAAAAAAAGCAGTTTAATGCTACAGTGAACACCATTCACTAATCCTCATGTATCATTTGTGAAATTCAGTCTGTTTGGCAAAAATAAATGCCCCTTTGCCCTTAAATACTCTGTAAAAATGCAGTCTGAAAACCATACCCAGGCCATGGTCGCTTTTCTGGAAGAAAGTAAAGAACTGTAATAGTCAAGACCATTATTTTCTTTCCAGCAAACCAATGCAAAATAAATTCCTTCAGCACCGTAAGAAGGACTTTTGAAAGGTGGAAGCTGTGGTTAGGTTTGCTGCTTATGCCTGTAAGACTGGGCTTCTTCTAAAATGATTACATTTGTGTACATACATTTATTCAAATCAACATATCATGACGGAGTTCTCATTTGCACCAGGCAATGCATGGCTTAAGACACAAGACTCTGCTCTCCATGTTTTCACAGTTGTCTGTACGACACTCCACAACACAGCGTGATGAGGGACCATCTGTATAGAGAAGCATTTTGCAATCTTTTCTGAACTCATGACTTCATGCTTGCTTTCTCACTCATCTTCCACATTCCTCCACTATGATATAGATGAACTCTCTGGATCCATAGACAGACTAATTTTTACAGCAGTCTGAAACTTTAAATATATATATGTACACACATATTTGAGTTTATATTATGAAAAGCAGAAGTAAAGAGAAGCCTTTGTCAATGTGTATTTTCAATCACAACCCCATTTTGGAAATTCTCCCACTGTCGGTTTTATTGTGTTTAAGGAGATTTGTCTCCTCGAGCTTTTCTACTCTCCATTCACTGAGCATCACAGCTCAAGAGTCACTGAAATCGCGTTCTGAATTAGAAGGTGTGGACCTGACCCCAAACAAATTAAGTTAAGAGAGACCAACAGATAGCTTTTACGTTTTGAATTATTAATTTGATTTCTTTCTGTGTGTACAAAGGCCCCAGGGATCACCTGTAACAAATATGCTAAATTCAATTTAGCAGAGAGAACATGGATATTGGGATCACTAATCACCCTACGTTCTGGAGCCCCCAAACACTTTGTAGTCCAAACAAAAGCAATTACAATAGAGTACTGACGGTTTGGAAATGCGAGACACTTCTTAGTTTAGGAGGAAGGATAATTCAGCTACTCCAGACACCATTGTTTGGGGGTTGAGTTGATTTTTGTTTTCATTAGCTCGAGTCTCTTTCATTAGTTCCTTTCATTAGCTCTTTTCTCTGTAGAGAAAGGCCTAGGCCGTGGAGTGATACTGGTTTAATAAATGCACTTACAACTCATTAGTGCTCCAAAGTCAACCGGCACGGAGAATGCAGGCTTTGATTCTTATGAGACCAATGCATCAACACAATAAACTATATTAAAGAGAGTACAGCTAATTTCAAATACCTGCAGTTTTGGTTTTGCTCTTCACACTTTAAAAATAAGGAACAAACATCACTTTTCTAATAATGCAACTAAAGAACTAAATGGAATTTGTGGCCACTTAACCCTATTCCTTTATTTTAGCAAATGAGGAAAGACGTGAATTAGTGGCAGAGTTTTTTTAGAACCCTCATTTTCTACCTGGCTAGCATTCCTTCCACTAGAATGGACATTTTCAAAATCACTTGAAAAAGATTAATTTTCTTTTGATCTCCAAAGAGCATTCTATATATTGTTTGTTCCATAGTTTCTACATTTACAGAGTTTCATAATGAGAATTTATATTTAGAAGAAAATAAAAAATGCTAGACCTCTGAATGATCAAAAAATATATAATTCAATTTATTTATTTTACTGAATTTCCTAAGACAAGAAAGTAAAACATGTCTTAAACTTTATAGTATGTAAAAACAGTGAGCATGACTCAAGATAATAATACATAGCAAGATGTTCTATTGAAAAACTATAAAAACATTCCTCTTTAATTAAGAATTATTTAACAGGAAACACATCATTCCTTGATCATTGATCATCTGATTCAAATATGTTTTTTTCTCCTGTTTCTACATCAATGAGTAAATTGAATCATCTGAGTTTGACTTTTTGCTGTGACTGTTGAAATTAGTTGGTTTTGCTCAGAATAATTTCTTTACTGTCATTACTTTTTATAACAGGGCATTGGACAGGATTTCTTGTTCTTAATGACTTTTCAGTAGGACCACAAGATGAGAAAGAGCTATCTTCACCACCTTTAATGATTGAGCATTTATGTTTTTTCTGTGTGTGAAATCTCAAAGAGAGAGCAAACAAATGTATTTGATGTAAGAATATTTCTCAGATCATACGAAAGCTATTTTTAAAAAAGAACCTGGAGCCAGAAGGATAATCCAATAACTGGGTATTTAATAAAGCACAAAATAAACGTGTTAGTCTAGAGCCAGGCTGTCTGAGTTTGAATTCTGGCTCCCTGTTTAACTAGCTGTGAGACTTTGTTCCAACCATCAAAACTTTTTCTTACTTACTAACCAGCTGTGTGACTTTGGTGTGACTTTTGTCTATTGATCCTTATGATAACGCAGTCTTCTCATTATGAAAATGGAAATGGTAATACAACTTAACTCATTGATCTATTATAAAAATTAAATTATTGATTCACATAAAGCATATAGAAATATGCCTGGCAAATAGTACGCTCTTCACAGGTTGGCTATAAATATTGCAGTCATAAACATAGAAATCATATCTTATGAAGAATAACTAAAGCAATTTTATGTACAAGATAAGATTGTTCTGAGCAGTTATTCCAAAGGGCCAAGCCAAAAATCAACAAATGGAGGTTGCAGGACCAGAGACTTAAATGAAATCAATGGAAATATTCTTTAATAATTAGAATTGTTATTAACTATGGGCTCTGTACACATTGAAGACATTTAAGAAGAGAATGCATGATAAATTTTCAAAGATATTAGAAGGCATTTATTGCTACTAAATGAGCATAATAAATGCCTTTCTGTTTCTATAAGTTTGTATTTTTTAAATGGAGCAAACCTTACTAGAATATATGTATTACCTGGAGTTTGTGTTTCTCTAGACCTAGGTGCTATCAGACCTAACTTCTGCCCACTCTAACAAACTTTTACCTCCTCTTGCCAGATGGACAGATTTTTCTTAACATTTTACATCTAACACTGAGGATGATACTGTAATTACAGCAGTTCTCAATATGTAGTCTAGAAAAACAGATATAGGAGCCTTATGAAATACTTCTAATATTTCAAACAGCCTAACAGAACATCTGCTATGTCTCACAGTGACGACGAATAGATTAACTGTTCCATTCCTTTGTTTTTAATGGAATTATGTTAATTGAACTGTATTATTTCAGGTTCTTGATCATATGAAGCTCTATTTTCATTATTAAAATCAAGGAAAAATTAATCATTGATTTATACACACAGTTGAGTATTTAGAAACTCTCAAAACGTGCAATTATTTGGTAGAAAAATAATTAGAATTGAAAAAGGATCAAGTAGATTGGTAATCACCCTGTATTTCTATTAAAACAGTCAATTAAATGCTAGCTGCTTTAGGTGTAAAAGTATCTTGTAGTTAGAAGAATTGAGGTGCAGCCAGGCCATGCTGATTAATTGTTCTGAGATCCTGAGTACATTATATAACACCACTTAATAGCAGTTACTGCCTCCATAAAATGAAGAGAATGTCTGCATTTGCTTATCTATTCATTCATTCATATCCTGTCTACTTCTGTGAAAGATTCGATAAAGACTATCAAGTGAAAGGTAGATTATATTACAAGTGGTATATACTCTAAAATTGGTTTTACCTTAGGAAATATTTTTACTGCTGTAAGATACTCCAGTTCCAGAAAAATATTTTGAACAAAGTTACAGATTTTTAAATAAATAAATAGATATACTTTCTGTGATTATTTGGACATGTGCATTATTAGTAGACTTCCTCCATGCACTGGTGTTTCTTAATGCACTAAGACATGGGTTACATCCTGGCAGAGATTAAAAAAATAAAACAAAAAAAAAAAAACTTCAGGCAAATATCCTTGATGAACATCGATGCGAATATTCTCAATAAAATACTGGCAAACTGAATCTAGCAGCACATCAAATCTTATCCAACACAATCAAGTTGGCTTCATCCCTAGGATGCAAGGTTGGTTCAATATATGCAATTAATAAATGTCATTCATCACATAAACATAACTAAATATAAAAACTATGTGATTATCTCAATAGATGCACAAAAGGCCTTTGATAAAATTCAATCTTCATTCATGTTAAAAACTCTCAATAAACTAGATGTTGAAGGAACATACTTCACAATAATAAGAGCCATCTATAACAAACCCACATCCTATATCATATAGAATGGGCAAAAGCTGGAAGCATTTCCCTTGTAAGCCAGAACAAGGATGCCCTCTCTCACCACTCCTATTCAACATAGCATTGGAAGTTCTGTCCAGAACAGTCAGGCAAGGTAAAGAAATAAAGCATATTCACATAGGAAGAGAAGAAATCAAATTATTTTTGTTTGCAGATGACATGACACTGTATCTAGAAAACCCCATCATCTCAGCCCAAAAGCTCCATAAGCTGATAAACAACTTCAGCAAAGTCTCAGGATACAAAATCAATGTGAAAACGTTTCTAGCATTGCTATGCACCAACAACAGGAAACTAGAGAGCAGAATTATGAATGAACTCCCGTTCACAACTGCCACAAAAATAGTAAAATACCTAGGAATACAACTAACAAGGGAAGTAAAGGACCTCTTCAAGGAGAACTATAAACCACTGCTCAAAAAAATTAGAACACAAACAAGTGGAAAAACACTTCATGCTCATGAATAGGAAGAATCAATATGAAAATGTCCATACTGCCCAAAGTAATTTATAGATTCAATGCTATTCCCATTAAACTACCATTGGAAATTCTTCACAGAATTAGAAAAAAAAATATTTTAAAATTCATATGGTGCCAAGAAAGAGCCCAAATAGCCAAGACAATCACAAGCAAAAAGAACAATGATGGAGGCATCACAATACCTGGCTTCAAACTATACTACAAGGCTACCATAACCAAAACAGCATGGTACTGGTATGAGAACAGACACAGACACATAGACCAATGGAACATAATAGAGAACTCAGAAATGTGACTGCACACCTACAACCATCTGATATTCAACAAACCTGACAAAAACAAGCAATGGAGGAAAGATTCCCTGCTAGCCATATGCAGAAAATTGAAAATTGACCCCTTCCTTATACCAGATAGAAAAATTAACCCAAGAGAGATTAAATACTAAAATATAAGACCCCAAACTATAACAGTCATAGAAGAAAATCTAGGCAATACCATTCAGGACATAGTCAACAGGCAAGGATTTCATGATGAAAACGCCAAAAACAATTGCAATGAAAGCAAAAATTGACAAGTGGAATCTAATTAAGCTAAAGAGCTTCTGCACAGCAAAAGAAACTATCATCAGAGTGAACAGACAAACTACAAAATGGGAGAAGATTTTTGCAATCTATCCATCTGACAAAGGTCTAATATACAGAGGCTACAAGGAACTTAAAAAAAATTAAAAGAAAAAAAAACAAACAACCCCATTAAAAAGTGGGCAATGAACATAAACAGATACTTCTCCAGAGAAGACATACATATGCCAACAAACATATGAAAAAAAGCTTAGCATCACTGATCATTAAAAAAACGTAAATCAAAACCACAATGAGACACCATCTCACAGCAGTCAGAATGGTTACTATTAAAAAGTCAAAAAACAACAGATTCTGGCAAGGTTTTGGATAAAAAAAGGAATGCTTTTACACTGTTGATGGGAATGTAAATTAGTTCAACCGTTGTGGAAGACAACGTGGTGTTTCTTCAAATACCTAGAGGCAGAAATACCATTTGACCCAGCAGTCCCAATATGGGGTATATATGCAAAGGAATATAAATCATTCTATTATAAAGACACATACATGTGTATGTTCATTGCAGCACTATTCACAATAGTAACAAAGACATGAAATCAACCTAAATGCCCATCAAAGATAGAATAGATAAAGAAAATGTGGTGTATATATGCCATGGAATACTATAAAGTTATAACAAGG